>NC_000005.10:178018008-178168454 GCF_000001405.40 Homo sapiens
GTTTTTCATAGCAATCAAAAGCAAAGCAAGCCCAGGTGTTCGCCATTCTCCTTAATGGCATCAAGCCCAGGGTTTGAGAGCCGTTTTCATTGGCCCCAGATGACCTGTTCATACCTGTCTTCATTGTGCCCAGCTCGGGGCTTCAAAGCTGGCTTCATCCAGGCCTGCAAAGGTGTTCGCAGTGGTCCTCATCTAAGCCAGCCAAGGTGTTCTCTTACCATCCACACGATAGCCAGCCCAGATGTCCCTAGCCGTCCTCATCGAGGCCAGCCAGTTTGTTCACACTCGTGCTTATTGGGGCCAGCCACCTTCATAGAGGTCGTCTCAGGTATTTACAGGCATCCTCACTGGGGCCAGCCCATGTGTCCACAGCTGTCCTCAGTGGGCATAGCCCGGGTGTTCATAGTTTTCCTCACTGGACTTAATCCAGGTGTTCTGAGCAATTCACATGGTCCCAGGCCAGGTGTTGACAGGTGTCCTCAATGGGGATGGCCCAGATGTTCACCGTTGTCTTAATTAGGCCAAGTGCAGATGCCCATAGCTGCCTCACAGGGCTCAGCCAAAAGGAACAAGGCTGTTCTCCTGAGCCCACATCACGTATTTATAGCTTTCCACATTGGGGTCAGCCCAGGTGTTGGTAGCCATGCATTCTGGGCCAATCCGTTATTCCAAGCTGTTTCCTTGGGCCCAGCCCAGGTGTCCACAGCCATCCTCAATGGTCCAGCACAGGTGTTCAGAGCTATCCTCCTTGGCCCCAGGCCAGATGTTGACACTCGATCTGACTGGGCCCAGACCGGGTATGCAAAGCTGTCTTAACTGGGAGCAGCCCATGCTTTCACAGCGGTCTTCACTGGTGTCAGCCAGGTTTCTCAGAACTGTCACTTGGCCGAACCTTGGTGTACATTGCCATCCCCATGGAGCACAGCTCAGGTATCCATAGCCATCCTCGCTGGGGCCAGCTGAGGTGTTCCCAGCCATCCTCATTTGTCTCAGTGCAGGGGTTCACAGCTGTCCTCATTGGCTGAGCCTAGTTGTTCCTTGCAATCATTACTTGAGCAAGACCAGGTGTTCATGGCTGTTCTAATTGGGGGCGAGCCCAGGAGTTAATGGTGCTCCTCATCTGGGCCAGCCCAGGTATCCACAGCCATCCTCATCATGATCAGTTTCAGTGTTCAAAGCTGTCCTCCTGAGGCCAGCCTGGTTGTTCGCTGCTGCTTTTACTGGGCCCAGCCCAGGTTTTCCCAGCTTCCCTCACTGGGGCTAGCGCAGGTGTTCACAGCTTTCCTCATTGGGCCCAGGCCATGGGTTCATAGCCATCTTCATCAGGCAAAGCCAAGGTGTTCACAGCCATTTTTTCCGGGTCCAGCCGAAGTCGCCCTCACTTGGGCCCAGCCCAGGTGTTAATAGTCGTCATCAGTGGGATTAGCCCAGTTGTTCACAGCATCTTTCTAGGGCTGAGTTTAGGTGTCAAGAGCCATTCATCTTGGGCCCAGCCAGCTGTTCATAGGCATCCTCATGGGGACAGGCCCAAGTGCTCACAGTGGCTCTCACTGAAACCAGGGCAGGTGTTTTCGGCTGTCTTCATTGGGCCCAGCCTAGACATTCATAGCTGTGCTCAAGGCGACCAGCCACGATGTTAACAGCTGTCTTCAGGGCAATCGTCCCCGGTGCCACAGCTGTCCTTATTGGCTTAGCCCAAGTGTTCTCAGCTGTTCTCGTTGGACCCAGGCCAGGTGTTCACAGCTGTCCTCACTGGCCCAGCCCAGGTTTCCATAGCCACCCTCACTGGGCCCAGCTCAGGGCTTCACAGCTGTTTACTCTGGGCCGAGTCCAAACACTCCAAGCTGTCCTTAGAGGGCCCAGCCAAGGCGTTCACAGCCATCCTCATTGGTAGCTAGCCCAGGTGTTAGTCCTTGTCCTCAGTGGGCCAGACCAGTGTTCACAGACATCCTTATTGGGCCAGCCCAGGAGTTCCATGCTGACCTCGCTGGGCCCTGCCTAGCACTTCATAGCTGTCCTCACTGGGCCCAGGCCAGGTGTTTGCAGCCATCCCCATCAAGGTCAGCCCAGGGGTTCACAGCCTTCCTTGTTTGTATGAACTCAGTTTATTATAGCAACAGTTTTTGATGGCTGTCAATATCAAGGCAAGCCCAGGAGTTCACGCTACCCCTCAGTAACATCAAGCCCAGGGTTAAGAGCCATTTTCACTGGCCCCAGGCCACCTGTTCATAGCTGTCTTCATTGTTTCCAGCCCAGGGCTTCCCAGCTGTCTTCATCCAGGCCTGCGCCGGTGTTCACAGTGGTCCTCATCTAAGCCAGCCAAGAAGATCTCTGTCATCCACGTGACAGCCAGCCCAGATGTCCCTAGCCGTCCTCATCAAGGCCAGCCAGTTTGCTTACACGTGTGCTAATTGGAGCCAGCCACCCTCATAGAGGCCATCCCAGGTACCGACAGCCATCCACACTGGGCCCAGCCCAGGTGTCCACACCTGTCCCCATTGAGCCTAGCCCTGGTGTTCATGGCTTTTGTCACAGGACTTCTCCCAGTTGTTTCCAGCAGTTTCCATGGTCCCAGGCCAGGGTTTCACAGACATCCTCAATGGGGACAGCCCATCTGTTCACCGTTGTCTTAATTAGGCCCAGTGCAGATGTTCACACGTGTCTTCCTTTGGCTCAGCCAAAATGAACAGAACTCCTGAGCGCATACCAGCGGTTTCTAGCTGTCCACATTGGGGCCAGCCCAGGTGTTCGTAGCCCTACGTTCTGGGCCCATCCCAGTTATTCCAAGCTGTCCTCTTGGGCCTAGCCCAGGTGTCCACAGCCATTCTCCTTGGTCCCGGCACAGGTGTTCACAGCTATCCTCCTTGGCCCCAGGCCACATGTTCACATGCCATCTCACTGGGCCCAGAGCAGCTATGGAAATTTTTGCTCTTGAAGTTGAGGTCTGTTTTAATTGAGGTTTCTGAGGTTGTATAGCAGTGTGCAGATGCAGGTGACTTGTGCCCCAGCACTGGGCTGCCTGGCTGTGCCCTGGGCTTGTGTGACCTTCAGTCTGTGCTGGGCTGGAATCTGCTCTAGAGGTTTCCAGATTTCTTTTTACCCTCCACCCCAACAGACCCTCAGGCCTTTTTGTGCTCACTTCCCAAGCTCCCCCTGGACTCTGCTCCGGAGTCCATGTCAGCCCCGCCTGGGACCTTGACTGCCACATCACCCACATTGCTCCTCTCAGCCTGTGATGACGATATATCCAGACCCCTTTCTGCCCCAGAGCTGCAGTGGGTCTCAGAGGAGCCCAGCTTTACCCCACAGTCTACCCTGGGAAGGTGGAGACACATCTGATACTGTCACTGCAGGGGGTGCCCCATATGGCAGCTGCTCCACCAGGGCTGCCCTGACCCGTCCCCAGCTGTAAGTCCCATGTCACTGGTGTGCACAGGCACTCACCTCTTTAACTTTGTCACGTCCACATTCTTAAGTGTTTGGTGGCACCAGGACCTGGCAGGTCTGAGGGAAGGACCCCTCGAAGCTCAGTTAGTTCTCTATGTCCAGCAAGGATGAGTGTGAGGCCCCGAGCATCGAGCATCGGGAAAACCACGTCAGGTGTTCCTCCCAAGTAGGTGCCCATTGCAGTGCCTGCCCCTGCCAGAGGGCACTGCCTGAGCTAAATCCCCCGTCTCACCTTCCCAGACCTTCACCTGGTTTCAGGGCTCCTCAGCCACCCACATATCGCTGAAATGTCAAAGAGCTTGTGAGGAAGCTTCTGGGGCACCTGCCTTCTAGAGGAGGCTGAGGGCAGCTGCGGATGGTTATTTATGGGGATGTTTTTGGCCTGGGCCACAAGCAGGTGGGTAAGTGGCACAGGGATGGCAGCTTAAGGTGCCCTGGCTTCTCTGCGTGGCTGTCACTGAGCAGAGGAGTCCGGGCCTGCCAGCAGGTTCCATCCTAGCTTATTCTCTGTGTGTCCTCAGTTGGGGTACCTACCCGGTCTCTGCCTCAGTTTCCTCCTCTGTGAGACAGTGATCCTAACAGGCCCTACCTCTGACAGTGGTTTTGATGAAGTACGCGATGTGGGTGAAGCACCTGGAGCTGGCCCACTCACAAAGAACGCGCCACGGACTCTCAAGGTTAATGTTGAAAAGGGGCTGGGGTGGGGCAAAAGTGGGCCGGCCATTTCCGCTCCAGGTGCCTGGGCTGACAGATTGGATTAAATTAGCATGTGCATTGCTGAGTGCACAGGGGACAGTTGCCCAGGCCAGAGGCATCAGGGTCAAAGCTGGTGATGCCTTGGCCTCATCACCCCAGGCTAGGGCCAGTGCATGATGCAGTCGGCCAGGGGAGGGCTCTGGAGCCCTGCAGCCGAGGGGGCCTGGTGACCCTCACAAGGTCATTCACAGGCCACTAGGATGGCCTGCCCTTTTCCGGCCAGGCCTCACTCTAGGAAAAAAAAAATTGATTGTAACCTCGTTGGCAGTTTCCTTTGCATAGAAGTGGGAATTCGCTGCTAGCGAGGCTGGTGATGAACTCCGCAAAAGCTGGGAAATCTCGTTTGAGCAGGAGCGCCCATTATCTTGGCCAAGCTGCTGCAGCTGGGCTGAGCGGGTGTGGAAGTGTGGGTGGTAGTCGTGTAAGTTCTCCAGCCAAGCCCAAGTTCCTCTGCAGACCTGTGCATGACGGCATATCCAGATGATTCCAACCTCCTGCTGTGGATTCAGTCCCGCTCCGTAAGACTTCTCTGCAGTCCCCAGACATCAACAAGGAGCAATAAGCTATCTTTTCTGTGTCTTACCTGAATTCTTGTCCCTGTGAAGCATTAGCAAATTGAAATGTTTGTTTTCTACCAGCATTTGGGGGTATTAGTTTTTTTTATTTAAAAATAATCACAGTAAAGACATCAGGAATAACACACTTGTAGGACATTCACGAGGTACAGAAGAATGCACACCGAAATCTGGACTTGTCTTTTCCTCTTCTGTAGCCTGCCAGCTTCTGCCTCTGGAAGTAACAACTGTTAAGTTTCTGCACATCTTTCCAGATTTATTAATTGAACAATCATATAGCACTGACACCGTGACAAAGCTTTGTCAAAGGACTTTGGCTACCAGTGTAAAAGACTCATTTATTTTCATTTACTGTGAACACTTAGGTGGCACCAGGAAGGAAAGCCTTATGCTCATTCCTTTTTATTCTTCCTAACATATTCTGTTTTTAAAAATGTCTTTTCCAGGGGCTGGGCACAGTGGCTCACGCCTGTAATACCAACACTTTGGGAGGCCGAGGCGGGTGGATCACTTGGTCAAGAGATCGACACCATCCTGGATAACACGGTGAAACCCTGTCTCTACTAAAAATACAAAAAATTAGCTGGGCACAGTGGCGGGCGCCTGTAGTCCCAGCTACTCGGGAGGCTGAGGCAGGAGAATGGCGTGAACCTGGGAGGCAGAGGTTGCAGTGAGCCGAGATCGTGCCACTGCACTCCAGCCTGGGCGACAGAGCAAGACTCCATCTCAAAAAAAAAAAAAAAAAAAAAAGTCTTTCCCAATTTGGCATTAAGAGATATAAATCTGTGGTCTGGTATTTTTTAATTGAGTTTTTTCACTCTCTCTCATATATGTGTATATATATATATATATGTGCACACCTGCCCAATTTTCTATTCAGTTGTTGACAATTAAAATTCTCCATTTACACAGGTAATATGTGTTCCTTCCTAAATTCTGTTAACCACCCCTTCAATTAGATAATTCCTGAAAAAAATTGCAACATCTATGTTAATGCAGTTTTTTTTGTATTTTGTATTTTTTATTTTTTGTTTATTATACTTTAAGTTTTAGGGTACATGTGCACAACGTGCAGGTTTGTTACATATGTATACATGTGCCATGTTGGTGTGCTGCACCCATTAACTTGTCATTTAACATTAGGTATATCTCCTAATGCTATCCCTCCCCCCACCCCCCACCCCACAACAGGCCCCAGTGTGTGATGCTCCCCTTCCTGTGTGCATGTGTTCTCATTGTTCAATTACCACCTATGAGTGAGAACATGTGGTATTTGGTTTTTTGTCCTTGCTATAGTTTGCTGAGAATGATGGTTTCCAGCTTCATCCATGTCCCTACAAAGGACATGAACTCATCATTTTTTATGGCTGCACAGTATTCCATGGTATATATGTGCCACATTTTCTTAATCCAGTCTATCATTGTTGGACATTTGGGTTGGTTCCAAGTCTTTGCTATTGTGAATAGTGCCACAATAAACATACGTGTGCATGTCTTTATAGCAGCATGATTTATAATCCTCTGGGTATATACCCAGTAATGGGATGGCTGGGTCAAATGGTATTTCTAGTTCTAGATCCCTGAGAAATCACCACTCTCTCTTCCACAATGGTTGAACTAGTTTACAGTCCCACCAACAGTGTAAAAATGTTCCTATTTCTCCACATCCTCTCCAGCACCTGTTGTTTCCTGACTTTTTAATGATCGCTATTCTAACTGGTGTAAGATGGTATCTCATCGTGGTTTTGATTTGCATTTCTCTGATGGCCAGTGATGATGAGCATTTTTTCATGTGTCTGTTGGCTGCATAAATGTCTTCTTTTGAGAAGTGTCTCTTCGTATCCTTTGCCCACTTCTTAATGGGGTTGTTTTTTTCTTGTAAATTTGTTTGAGTTCTTTGTAGATTCTGGATATTAGCCCTTTATCAGATGAGTAGATTGCAAAAATTTTTCTCCCATTCCTTAGGTTGCCTGTTCACTCTGATGGTAGTTTCTTTTCTGTGCAGAAGCTCTATAGTTTAACTGATCCCATTTGTTAATTTTGGCTTTCGTTGTCATTGCTTTTGGTGTTTTATACATGAAGTCCTTGCCCATGCCTATGTTCTGAATGGTATTGCCTAGGTTTTCTTCTAGGGTTTTTATGGTTTAAGTCTAACATTTAAGTCTTTAATCCATCTTGAATTAATTTTTGTAAAAGGTGTAAGGAAGGGATCTAGTTTCAGCTTTGTACATATGGCTAGCCAGTTTTCCCAGCACCATTTATTATATAGGGAATCCTTTCCCCATTTCTTGTTTTTGTCAGGTTTATCAAAGATCAGATAGTTGTAGATATGTGGCATTATTTCTGAGGGCTCTGTTCTGTTCCATTGGTCTATATCTCTGTTTTGGTACCAGTACCATGCTGTTTTGGTTACTGTAGCCTTGTAGTATAGTTTGAAGTCAGGAAGCGTGATGCCTCCAGCTTTGTTCTTTTGGCTTAGGATTGACTTGGCGATGCGGGCTCTTTTTTGGTTCCATATGAACTTTAAAGTAGTTTTTTCCAATTCAGTGAAGAAAGTCATTGGTAGATTGACGGGGATGGCATTGAATCTATAAATTACCTTGGGCAGTATGGCCATTTTCACAATATTGATTCTTTCTACCCATGAGCATGGAATGTTCTTCCATTTGTTTGTATCCTCTTTTATTTCATTGAGCAGTGGTTTGTAGTTCTCCTTGAAGAGACCCTTCACATCCCTTGGAAGTTGGATTCCTAGGTATTTTATTCCCTTTGAAGCAATTGTGAATGGGAGTTCACTCATGATTTGGCTCTCTGTTTGTCTGTTATTGGTGTATAAGAATGCTTGTGATTTTTGTACATTGATTTCGTATCCTGAGACTTTGCTGAAGTTGCTTATCAGCTTAAGGAGATTTTGGGCTGAGACGATGGGGTTTTCTAGATATACAATCATGTCATTTGCAAACAGGGACAATTTGACTTCCTCTTTTCCTAATTGAATACCCTTTATTTCCTTCTGCCTGATTGCCCTGGCCAGAACTTCCAACACCATTTTGAAGAGGAGTGGTGAGAGAGGGCATCCCTGTCTTGTGCCAGTTTTCAAAGGGAATGCTTCCAGTTTTTGCCCATTCAGTATGATATTGGCTGTGGGTTTGTCATACATAGCTCTTATTATTTTGAGATACGTCCCATCAATAACTAATTTATTGAGAGTTTTTAGCATGAAGGGCTGTTGAATTTTGTCAAAGGCCTTTTCTGCATCTATTGAGATAATCATGTGGATTTTGTCTTTGGTTCTGTTTATATGCTGGATTACGTTTATTGATTTGCGTATGTTGAACCAGCCTTGCATCCCAGGGATGAAGCCCACTTGATCGTGTTGGATAAGCTTTTTGATGTGCTGCTGGATTCGGTTTGCCAGTATTTTATTGAGGATTTTTGCATCAATGTTCATCAGGGATATGGGTCTAAAATTCTCTTTTTTTTTTGTTGTGTCTCTGCCAGGCTTTGGTATCAGGATGATGCTGGCCTCATAAAATGAGTTAGGGAGGATTCTCTCTTTTTCTATTGATTGGAATAGTTTCAGAAGGAATGGTACCAGCTCCTCCTTGTACCTCTGGTAGAATTCGGCTGTGAATCCATCTGGTCCTGGACTTTTTTTGGTTGGTAAGCTATTAATTATTGCCTCAATTTCAGAGCCTGTTATTGGTCTATTCAGAGATTCAACTTCCTCCTGGTTTAGTCTTGGGAAGGTGTATGTGTCGAGGAATTTATCCATTTCTTCTAGTTTTTCTAGTTTATTTGTGTAGAGGTGTTTATAGTATTCTCTGACGGTCATTTGTATTTCTGTGGGATCGGTGGTGATCTCTCCTTTACCATTTTTTATTGCCTCTATTTGATTCTTCTCTCTTTTCTTGTTAGTCTTGCTAGCAGTCTATCAATTTTGTTGATCTTTTCAAAAAACCAGCTCCTGGATTCATTGATTTTTTGAAGGGCTTTTTGTGTCTCTGTTTCCTTCAGTTCTGCTCTGATCTTAGTTATTTCTTGCTTCTGCTAGCTTTTGAATATGTTTGCTCTTGCTTCTGTAGTTCTTTTAATTGTGATGTTAGGGTGTTAATTTTAGATCTTTCCTGCTTTCTCTTGTGGGCATTTAGTGCTATAAATTTCCCTCTAACACACTGCTTTAAGTGTGTCCCAGAGATTCTGGTATGTTGTGTCTTTGTTCTCATTGGTTTCAAAGAAGATCTTTATTTCTGCCTTCATTTTGTTATGTAGCCAGTAGTCATTCAGGAGCAGGTTGTTCAGTTTCCATGTAGTTGAGTGGTTTTGAGTGAGTTTCTTAATCCTGAGTTCTAGTTTGATTGCACTGTGGTCTGAGAGACAGTTTGTTATAACTTCTGTTCTTTTACATTTGCTGAGGAGTGCTTTACTCCCAACTATGTGGTCAATTTTGGAATAAGTGCGATGTGGTGCTGAGAAGAACGTATATTGTGTTGATTTGGGGTGGAGAGTTCTGTAGATGTCTATTAGGTCTGCTTGGTGCAGAGCTGAGTTCAATTCCTGGATATCCTTGTTAACTTTCTGTCTCGTGGATCTGTCTAATGTTGACAGTGGGGTGTTACAGTCTCCCATTATTATTGTGTGGGAGTCTAAGTCTCTTTGTAGGTCTCTAAGGACTTGCTTTATGAATCTGGGGGCTCCTGTATTGGGTGCATATATATTTAGGATAGTTAGCTGTTCTTGTTGAATTGATCCCTTTACCATTATGTAATGGCCTTCTTTGTCTATTTTGATCTTTGTTGGTTTAAAGTCTGTTTTATCAGAGACTAGGATTGCAACCCGTGCCTTTTTTTGTTTTCCATTTGCTTGGTAGATCTTCCTCCATCCCTTTATTCTGAGCCTGTGTGTGTCTCTGCACGTGAGATGGGTTTCCTGAATATAGCACACTGATGGGTCTTGACTCTTTATCCAATTTGCCAGTCTGTGTCTTTTAATTGGAGCATTTAGCCCATTTACATTTAAGGTTAATATTGTTATGTGTGAATTTGATCCTGTCATTATTATGTTAGCTGGTTATTTTGCTCGTTAGTTGACGCAGTTTCTTCCTAGCCTTGATGGTCTTTACAATTTGGCATGGTTTTGCAGTGGCTGGTACCGGTTGTTCCTTTCCATGTTTAGTGCTTCCTTCAGGAGCTCTTTTAGGGCAGGCCTGGTGGTGACAAAATCTCTCAGCATTTGCTTGTCTGTAAAGGATTTTATTTCTCCTTCACTTATGAAGCTTAGTTTGGCTGGATATGAAATTCAGGGTTGAAAATTCTTTTCTTTAAGAATGTTGAATATTGGCCCCCACTCTCTTCTGGCTTGTAGAGTTTCTGCCGAGAGATCAGCTGTTAGTCTGATGGGCTTCCCTTTGAGGGTAACCCGACCTTTCTCTCTGGCTGCCCTTAACATTTTTTCCTTCATTTCAGCTTTGGTGAATCTGACAATTATGTGTCTTGGAGTTCCTCTTCTCGAGGAGTATCTTTGTGGCATTCTCTGTATTTCCTGAATCTGAACGTTGGCCTGCCTTGCTAGATTGGGGAAGTTCTCCTGGATAATATCCTGCAGAGTGTTTTCCAACTTGGTTCCATTCTCCCCATCACTTTCAGGTACACCAATCAGACATAGATTTGGTCTTTTCACATAGTCCCATATTTCTTGGAGGCTTTGTTTGTTTCTTTTTATTCTTTTTTCTCTAAACTTCTCTTCTCGCTTCATTTCATTCATTTGATCTTCCATCACTGATACCCTTTCTTCCAGTTGATCGAATCGGCTACTGAGGCTTGTGCATTTGTCACATCGTTCTCATGCCATGGTTTTCAGCTCCATCAGGTCATTTAAGGCCTTCTCTGCATTGGTTATTCTAGTTAGCCATTCATTTAATCTTTTTTCAAGGTTTTTAACTTCTTTGCCATTGGTTTGAACTTCCTCCTTTAGCTCAGAGAAGTTTGATCATCTGAATCCTTCTTCTCTACTCGTCAAAGTCATCCTCCATCCAGCTTTGTCCCGTTACTGGTGAGGAGCTGCATTCCTTTGGAGGAGGAGAGGCACTCTGATTTTTAGAATTTTGAGTTTTTCTGCTCTGTTTTTCCCCATCTTTGTGGTTTTATCTACCCTTGGTCTTTGATGATGGTGACATACAGATGGGGTTTTGGTGTGGATGTCCTTTCTCTGTTTGTTAGTTATCCTTCTAACAGCCAGGACCCTCAGCTGCAGGTCTGTTGGAGTTTGCTGGAGGTTCACTCCAGACCTTGTTTGCCTGGGTGTCAGCAGTGGAGGCTGCAGAACAGCGAATATTGAGGAACAGCAAATGATGCTGCCTGATTGTTCCTCTGGAAGTTTTGTGTCAGAGGAGTAGCCGGCCATGTGAGGTGTCAGTCTGCCCCTACTGGGTGGTGCCTCCCAGTTAGGCTACTTGGGGGTCAGGGACCCACTTGAGGAGGCAGTCTGTCTGTTCTCAGATCTCAAACTGTGTGCTGGGAGAACCACTATTCTCCTCAAAGCTGTCAGACAGGGACATTTAAGTCTGCAGAGGTTTCTGCTGCCTTTTGTTTGGCTATGCCCTGCCCCCAGAGGTGGAGTCTACAGAGGCAGGCAGGCCTCCTTGAGCTGCAGTGGGCTCCACCCAGTTAGAGCTTCCCAGCCACTTTGTTTACCTACTCAAGCCTGGGCAATGGCGGGCGCCCCTACCCCAGCCTCGCTTCAGCCTTGCAGTTTGATCTCAGACTGCTGTGCTAGCAATGAGCGAGGCTCCATGGGCGTAGGACCCTCCGAGCCAGGTACAGGATATAATCTCCTGGTGTGCCGTTGGCTAAGACCATTGGAAAAGCGCAGTATTAGGGTGGGAGTGACCTGATTTTCCAGGTGCCGTCTGTCATCCCTTTCCTTGGCTAGGGGAGGGAATTCCCTGACCCTTTGCACTTCCTGGGTGAGGCAATGCCTTGCCCTGCTTCAGCTCACACTCGGTGGGCTGCACCCACTGTCCTGCACCCACTCTCCGACAATCCCCAATGAGATGAACCTGGTACCTCAGTTGGAAATGCAGAAATCATTCGTATTCTGCATCGCTCACGCTGGGAGCTGCAGACTGGAGCTGTTCCTATTCGGCCATCTTGGCTCCACCCCCTATTAATGCAGTTTTTATGCCTCATTAATGACCCATTTG
Organism: Homo sapiens; assembly: GCF_000001405.40. NCBI lineage: Eukaryota > Metazoa > Chordata > Mammalia > Primates > Hominidae > Homo > Homo sapiens. Next base: position 178,029,988 of record NC_000005.10, read on the forward strand.
ATTTAATAGTTCTTAAAACTTGTGATGAATCAACAGTGATGGAAAGTTGTACTGAATCATATCTTTTTTTATTACTATGAATTATATTGTTAGAGATTGGCTTTAAAATTGAAGTTACACTAATGCATTTTAAATGTAATTTGGAGCTAGTTTAGAATTGTTGAAGCTAGGACTCTCTGGTGACTCAGGAATAGTAGAAATTGGTGGGGAAGGCATTTCACATCAAGGCTGGAATCTCCCTTTATTCTCAATGTATTAGCTTTTCTTATCTTTACCCTGAAATTTTCACTATCAAATATATTTGAGAGGCAAATCTTTTTCCTCCTTTAATGTTTGTTTCATACACATAGAATAATACTGTGTGTCTGAGATTCAGTTTTTGAAATGAAACATGGAGTCTAAGTGACCCCTTGTCGATGTGACAATGGACTGGTCTAGATCACAGCAGTTGGGCCCCATATTGTGACATGGATGCTTGCGAAAATTCTACTGTGACCTGTTGCTGAGGTGATCTGATGATATAGGTCTTGCCTTTCATTTTAACTGCCATTCTGGCAACTGAACGTTGGCAGTAAACGCAGCTTAGTTGTCTCAGAGGACTCACAATGGGATGTGCTTATAGTTGTTGCCTCGAAGGTATGTATGTTCATTTCCATCTTCTGACTGCAATTTCTTCAGATGAGCCAGTTTTCCTGTATGTTAAATGTCATTCTGATTTTTTTAATTTCCCCAGCTCCTATTTGTCTACAGATTTATAAATATGTTTCAGAGTTTTATTACTCAATTTGTGTTTTTTTATTCTTCTATCAAGATTTTTGCCTCAAATACTTTTCTCTAGAAAATACACTGTTTCCAATGCCAATTTTTTTTTTTTTTTGGAAGAGTGAAGAGTCTTGCTCTGTTGCCTAGGCTAGAATGCAGTGGTGTGATAATGACTCACAGCAACCTCCACCTCCCAGGTTTAAGCAATTCTCCTGCCTCAGCCTCCTGAGTAGCTGGGATTACAGGCATCCGCCACCACGCCTGGCTAATTTTCGTATGTTTAGTAGAGACAGGGTTTTACCATGTTGGCAAGGGAGGTCTTGAACTCCTGACCTCCTGATCCACCTTCCTTGGCCTCCCAAAGTGATGGGATTACAGGCATGAGCCACAGTGCCTGGACTTTTCTTTTTTTTTTTTTTTTTTTTTTGGCAGAGTCTCATTCTGTCACCCAGGCTGGAGTGCAGTGGCACAATCTCAGCTCTTTGCAACCTCTGCATCCCAGGTTCAAGTGATTCTCCTGCCTCAGCCTCCCAAGTAGCTGGGACTATGGGTGCCTGCCACCATGCCTGGCTAATTTTTGTATTTTTAGTAGAGACAGGGTTTCACCATATTGACCAGGCTGGTCTTGAACTCCTGACCTTGTGATCTGCCCACCTTGGCCTCCCAAAGTGCTGGGATACAGGTGTGAGCCACCACACCCGGCCTCCCCCGCCACACACACTCTTTCATAGACTAGATACAGAATAAACTGCTGAAAAATCCACTGGGGGGCCACATTTTCAGTTAATTCCCATTAATTGCTTCTTCAGAATGGTTCAGTTGAAGGGAAGTTTATTCTTGGCACAGCCATCAAGTGGTAGTTAGTTTGGAATGTCCTAAGTTCCGAACTACCTTGGGGGCCAAGCAGAACTTGGTCCCTTGCTGTGGTCAGTTGGTCATGGAGGGGTGCTCACTGCCAGACAGCTGACAATACAGGGCAATGGGTAGGATGACCAGACATTTGAATTTGTTCCTCAGAGAGGCTTCGTTTGCGGGAAAGTGCCATATTTTAGCCCAGGAGTTAAAACCTAGAGACAGGAGTTTTGTTTTGTTAAATGATTTGGCTTTTTTCTGGACTCACCACCTCTTCCAAATACATCAACCTTCCTGAAGAGCCCTTGGTGCAGGAGGATTGAGAAAGGGAGTGGAAAGAGCTCCAGGTTCAGGGTCCAGGCCATGATTTAGAGGCCTCAGGTATTCAGGGATCTCTGTCCCCAGAAAACCAACCAAATTCTTGTCGCAGATCTATCATTCGTCAGTGTTGTGACCCTAGGCAGGTCGCTTCAAATCTCTTCATTTCACTTCCCTGAACCGTCAACTCTGAGTGGCAGCCCCTGCTCTGCCCATCTCTCTGGGCCGACGTGGGCATCACAGGAAATTCAAACAAAAACTTTTCACGAGTTCTAAAGCATGAGACCCATGTCAAGAATGAAAAGAATTTTAGCCTCCACTGCCCTGGAGTCCCCCAAGTGGCTTCTCTATTAACCACTACCAAGGGCCTGGCTTATTCTTCCAGACATGAAATAATTGAACACTTTATGGCACTTAGGAAGCACCCGTTTTAAGGCTTTAGGTCCATTTAATTCTTCTTACCCTTTTAACATAACGTAGGCCATTAGGAGGCACAGAGGGATCTATAGAACTTCCTCAGGTTCTAGCAGCTTCTCAGAAGTCCCTGAGCTCAGATCCTATGCTCCGGACCCTATGCTCTTGGTCACTCCAATCTACTACCTTTCTGTAATGTCTCATCTCAATACAGGCATTTGCCTGCACACTTATACGTGCAACCCACAGTGCAAGTCTTTCTGAAGCCCAACTCAGATTCAGGGGGCTTTGCTCTGCAGATGATGAACAATGGAATCAAACATTTAAGCTGTGAATAAATAATTACTCATTTCTCTGATCTTTTGCGGCAAGACACCAACACCTGTCTTTATTTTAATTCATTTCCCAGTGTGTTGTGGCAAGGATGAAATAGTGTATCCTAGGATGCCAGGGGAATCCACCGTCTGCCACCGCGAGCGTGAGAAGCCAATCACCTATCACTGGTATCACTGGCATCCCGGCCATATATACCCTAGAGTTGCATCAATGGAAGGTGTTGTGGAAATTCAGTCATTCAGTTCATTCATGATATGATTTCTAGATTCTTCAGTGTCTCATATTTCAGACAATTATAAAATTGCGATGCTATATTCTTTATTTCATGTGTGCATATTTAAATGTGTTAAGTCAATCACTAGTGCTACAACCAGAGGAGTAAAGGTGTATTTCCATTCCAGATTTGGGTTTACTTTTAATAGTAAATAACATCTCAGTGCAAATTGTAGACATTTTGCTGATTGTTAAAACATTAATTAAAAAGGATCTTTTTCTGAGACAGTGTTGCCAGGTTTGTAAAGTAATGGACATCACTTCAAACTGTTTGGAAGTAACCGAAAAATGGAGGAAGTGGCAACAAAAATTTCCATATACCCACCTTCCTCAGTGTTTTTTGGTGATCCCATCTTTGTGAGTGTGATAACGCTCGTAACAATGACTGAGCCAATAGTGATACATTCTTATGAACAGAAATCCAAGGTTAGCATCAGTGACTGAGCCAATAGTGATACATTCTTATGAACAGAAATCTAGGGTTAGCATCAAGGTTCACTCTGTGTTGTCCAGCCTATGGGTTTTGACAAACTGACAATGTCTTTTGTCACCCTGACGGAATAATTTCACATCCTACACATGACCTGAGCTGCATCTACTAATTCCTCTCCTTTTCTGAGGATTCCTGACAACTATGGATGATTTTACTGCCTCTATAGGTTTCCTTTTCCAGAATTTTATAGAGTTGGAATCATAGAGTATGTAGCTACGTATAACTAACTTATTTTACTTAGCAATATACATGTAAGATCTTTTGTATCGTTTTGAAGCTTAACAGCTTAATAATTCTTATCAGTGAACAATAGTCCATTGGTTTCATCGAACAGGGTTAGTTGGTTCACTCACCGCCTGAAGACCATCTCAGCTGCTTCCAATTTGGGTAATTATGAATAAAGCTGCCCACATTCTTGTGCAGATTTTAAGATGAACATAATTTTCTAATTTAGCTGGGTAAATATGTAGAATTTTGATCACTTGCTGGTAAGACTATGTTTTCCATTGTGTTAGGCAGAATTCACCAGTACAATTATGTGGGCATTTTTTTTTAAAGTTATTACTTCCTGATTAAATTCTATAATGATAGAGGCCTACTCAGATTATCTATCTCTCCTTTGGGTGGTTATGGTAGTTTCTCTCTTTGAAGGCATTTGTCCATTTCATCTAAGCTAGGAAATTTGTGGGTGTAGACACTTGAATCTGACAAGTTGCCTGCTTGGTTCTCATCAAAGGCTACTGTGCTTCCTGTCATTCCTACTCTCAAACTTTTCAATAGACTTTCACTCCTGCACTTAAAAAATTGCAGGCATAGATTTGTTGAAAGTATTCTGTTATTATTTTCTTAATGATCATGGGATCAGCAAGGATAATTCCTCTTCTATTCATATTGTTTGTACATCGTGTCTTCTGTATTTTCTTTGTGATTAGCCTTGCTGGAGGTTTACCAATTCTATTGATCTTTTCTAAGAAGCAGCTTTTGGTTTTGTTGAGTTTCTTTATTTTATTATTTCTATTACATTGATTTCTGCAAATATTGTTATATTTTGGGGGAGGAGGGTTGCCTGGTTTACATTACACTATACTTTTTTCTCTAGTTTCCTAAGGTGGAAAGTAAGACATCTGGATTTGGATTACATTTAGTTTACTGCACAGAACTGTGAATGGCACTGATGCCCCTGAAGTGTGCACTTGATTATTAAAATAATAAATACGATGTATTTTGGCCACAATACTGATTTTAAAGCCAATTAAATGGATGATAAGTACAGGAGGAGCATATGTAGATCAAGGAAAGATAAATGACATTATAACATTTCAACAACAAAAGAAATTTACCGGGCCTCAAAATGCACAAGGGGGTGATGGGACACTGTCATGAAATCAGCAGTGCATTTGTGTGCCACCCTGTGTGAACTCTGCCTTTTTCGCAGTGGTGTGGGGGCTTAGCCAGAGAACCAGGTCCTGACTTCTGTGGCTTTCCTGATGGTCTCATTTGCCTTCCCTCATCACCCAGGAGGGTGTCCCAGTGGCAGCCAAGTTTCTACCCTTAACCCACCTCCTTTACACATGCCAGCCCCCTGTCCTTAGCATCCAAGGTTGCCTAAGGGATTCCTTCAGTGGAACCAACATGATGACAGTTACTCTGTGTTTCCTAGATTACGATGAGGACCTGGTGCAGGAAGCTTCATCTGAAGATGTCCTGGGCGTTCATATGGTAAGTTCTTCTTTATGTTTCTGAGATGGAAATTTTGTTGCTCTTGGTTCTTTTTTATTTTATTTGAATTGAGATATGAAAATCTTACCATGTACATTATAGATGACTTACAGAATATTTTGGTGGGAAAATGTGAGGGTCATTACCAGGTAAGAAATGATCTCAGATGGCATTCTTAGATGACACCTTCAGTTATGAACTGTATGGCAGAAAGAATTTTTGTTAGGGGAAAAGCTTTCTTCTTACAACATTGTGACTATACAACCAAAACAATCTTGAAAGTCTTGCATAAAAATCTTGTGCCTTTCCAGAAGTGTCTTCGAGGCTTTAGGACCATTGCCTCAACCACTGTCTCCCATCTGCTTTTCTAATGTCACCAAGTAAAGAAAAGACTTGTATGGTGAAACCCCATCTCTACTAAAAATACAAAAATTAGCTGGGCATGCTGACCGGCTGCTGTAATCTCAGCTACTGGGGAGGCTAAGGGAGCAGGATCGCTTGAGGCCAGGAGGCGGATGTTGCAGTGAGCCATGATCATGACACTGTACTCCAGCCTGGGTGACAGAGCGAAATTCCAGCAAAGAAAGGGAGAGAGGAAGGGAGAGAGGGAGTAGGGGAGAGAGAGAGAGAGAGAGAGAGGCAGGAAGGAAGGAAGAAGGGAAGGGAAGAAGGAAGAGAAAGAAGGAAGGGAAAGAAAGAAGGAAGGAAAGAGAAAAAGAGAAAGAAAGAAAAAGAAAGAAAAGAAAGGAAAGAAAGAAAGAGAAAAGAAGGAAGGGAGGGAGGGAAAAGGAAAACCTGTGCACACAGGACACAGCATGGTCTGACCCTTGTAGTGTTTTGTTTTTCTCTAAATGCAGGTGGACAAAGACACAGAGAGAGACAGTACGTATTCTGGAATCACCCCTATGCTGAGGAAAAATTCTAGTGTTGACAAAGGTGACACTTTCTTGCCTCATTTTTTCTGGAGAGCCACTCTGGTTTGAACTTCCTGCCAGAAATGTGGTTCAAGCACTTTTGTCTTGACAAGTGAAGAACCTGGTCAAGAAATGTGACCGTTGACTCTGGTGCTTGGAAGGAACAGGGTCATTTGGATAGAAGAGGGTGTTGTGAATCAGAGTTGGGAGGTATGGAGGAATGAGTCAATGTGGAATGATTGTGAATGTCTCTGCGAGTTTGTGTGCTTTTCCCCAGAAAATACGTTCCCATATGCAAAGCACAACACAAAGATTGATATTCTAGAAACAAAATTTGATCACCACTGCATTTTTGCAAAAAATCAACCCATTCATTCCTCACCACAGCTGTAGCTGAAGGTAAGTTTAATATCCCAAGTCCTCACATGGAGATGATGTAGAGATGAATTTTTCAGGCTTTTGGTCTCCTAAATGGAAATGGCATAGATGAACTCGGGAATGGGTGGAAGAGTGATGCTGTGGGCTACTAGTCTGAAGTTATAACATGGCCCTGGTGTAACTTGTCACCATGTCAGAGAGTCCTTAGCATCTATGTGTATGTGGAAGTATGTTGGCCTATAAAGATCTCCAGCACTGTATACCACAATAGAATGGTCTCAATGGTCAGCTGACCCAGAGTTTGAGTAGGTTCATTGTACAGTGAACTTGGGTGCGGTCATTAATATGAAACATACAGAGGGAGCTGCCGGGCCTTTGGTCTTAAGTGATGGGGTATTCCTCAGTTCCTGGTCAAGGGCAGAGAACATTCAGAGATATATTCTATTATATTTAATGAGATCATCACCAGAAATGTTAGAAATGCTCCAATTCAGTAGCACACATACCCAACACACAGCACCCAACAAGATCTCACAGAGCCAATTGGCTGTTAGCCTGGTGCCCATCTCGTCTGCTGGAATCTCTGCACAGCTGGGTAACAGAGGGTCAGCGCCCCCACCTGCTGTCACCCATGAAGGGCTGTCCCATTCCTGGAGCCAGTGTGAGTATGAGCAACAGCAGGCCCCATGACACACACACACAGTGTTAAAAGAAAGAGCAGAAGGACAAATATCACAGGCCAAGTAGAGGTCATCTTTAAATGGTAGGATAATTGAGTGTTTTCAAATCTTGGTTTAGTCTTCTTTGAAACAAAAGGTTAGTGAATATGTAGAATATTTTGGCTAGAATTATATCACCTCTTTGAAGAAAGGTTGCTTTTTACCTCGTACAAAATGTTCTGGCTGAAGACGGTGGCTCATGCCTGTAATCCCAGTGCTTTGGGAGGCCAAGGAGGGTGGATCACCTAAGGTCAGGAGTTCAAGACCAGCCTGATCAACATAGAGAAACCCCATCTCTACTAAAAATACAAAATTAGCTGGGCATGGGAGCACATGTCTCTAATACCAGCTACTCAGGAAGCACATGTCTTTAATACCAGCTACTCAGGGAGCACATGTCTGTAATACCAGCTACTCAGCTACCCATTCATCCTCCACCACAGCTGTACCTGAAGATAAGTTTAATATCCCCAGTCCTCAGATGGACATGCTGCAGAGTTGAATTTCCCAAGCTCCTGGTCTTTTAAATGGAAGAGGCACATGTGAACTCGGGAATGAGTGGAAGGTTAATGCCATGGGCTACTACACTGAATTTGTCACAAAGCCCTGGTATAATTTCTTGCTAGGCCAAGTTATTCCAGCACTTCTGTGTGCTGGAAGAATGAAAACCTATTCAGATCCCAAACACTATCATTATCGGATGGTCTCAATGGTCAGCTAACCCAGGGTTTGTTTGAGTAGGTACAGTGCACAGTGGGCTTTAGTGTGATCATTAATGTAAAACACACAGAGTCCTCAGGCTTTTGGTCTACAGTGTTGAGGTCATTCCTCAGCTCCTGTTCAAAAGCAGACAATAATCAGTGACATACTCTATTGTATTTAAGGAGATAATCACCGCAAGTCTTAGAAATTCAGTGGAAACCAATCCCAACACATAGCATCCAATAAAATCTCAAGACTCAACTTGGGTGTTAGCCTGGCACCCATTTTCCCTGCTGGAATCTCTGCACAGCTGGGTTGGAGAGGGTCAGTGCCCACCCCTTGCCCCGCCTCGCTGCTCCCCATGACAGACTGTCTCTGTGCTGGAGTCAGTGTGAGCATGAGCAGCAGTGAACTCCATGGTGCACACACATGGTGTTGAAAAGGAAGAGCGGAAGAACAAATATCACATGCTAAGTAGGGGTCATCGTTAAATGGTAGGATAATAGAGTATTTTCAAATCTCTGTTTATTTGCCTTGTAACAGAAAGTTAGTAATAAAATCTTTTGGCTAGAATTAAATCTCCTATTGTAAGAAAGGTTACTTCTTGTTTAGTACAAAATCTTCTAGAAGGGATGATAAACAGATCAGCAGCACATGTGGATTCTGAGGAGGAAATGACTTTGGCAGGGATCAATAAGAGGGCAAGTTAGCTCAGGTCAGATTAGGAAGGAGGAGCCCTAAGAGGCTGCCAGGGACACACAGCCTGCACTGCTGGTGTGCACTGTTTGAGATTGGCTATTATATGTTTATGAGGCGGCCTGGAGCTAGGAAGCCAAAGGCCCTGATTCCCTTTCTTCCTGCATCTCTCCTGTGCCTGCTACCCTCCTCCCAAGCCCACCTCAAGCAGTGTTACTGAATTGTTCATGAGCGCCACCACCAAGGTGCTGACGGTCACTCTGTATCCTCCTAGTTGAGATGAAACGGCAACTACGGCGACTACGGGAGCTCCACCTATACAGCACATGGAAGAAGTACCAAGAGGCGATGAAGGTCAGGCCACCTGGATTTGTCTGAGAAAAAACTGTTGCTTTCTTAGCTTTATCTGATTTGGATTAAATTAAGATATGAGACTCTGACAATATGTATCTTAGTTACACAGTGTCCTTGGGGGGAATTGTAAGTGAGAGTCTGTCCCCACTGAGGCTTGATTTAAAACAGTGGGAGAAAATGACAGCATCAGTCACACATTGTGGGGCAGGGAGCTTTTGCCTTACTAATTTTGTTCTCTCTTTGGAGCAAAATCAGTTACTTGCCAACCAACATGGACTTGAGAGGAAATATCCTCTGAGAAAAATTTGTGTCTTTAGTATGAGTTGATTTGCTCTGTTCTTCTTTGGGGTTCCTTTGAACACTGGTTTTTCCATCTTGTTTTCTAATGTCACTAAGTGAAGAAAAGTCCTGTGCTCACAGGACACAGCATGGTCTGATGCTCATAGCAATTTATTTTCTGTCATTACAGACATCCTTGGGAGTTCCACAACGTGGTACGTATTGGGGAACCCCTCTCATACTGATGAGTAATCCAGATGTTGAGGAATGTGGCCCTGTCTCACAGGCTTTCCTGTAGACAGGCAGCCTGAGCTGAGCTTCATGTTGTGAATGAGGACCTAGACTGTGATGGGAGAAATGGTTTTTCTAGATAAGAAACAGTGGCCACATTCTGCAGTCCCCGGGAACAACTGTGTTCTCTGAAGGTGGGGTGGGATCCCGTGCAAGGGGCCTGCCATGTCTTTTGTGAATTCATGTGGTGCCATGGTCCGTGTGTCTGGTGGGGGGGTGTGTGGGTTTCCATACTACATATCCCCAGAGTTTCTAGTGTCCACATTCTCAACAGAGATTTCCGTCACCATTGCGGTCCTATTGTAGGCACAAAAAAAGATTAACTTGTAAGCTTCCAATGTTTGCAGTTTATTTCATGCACAGGGCACTTCAATAAACCTAAAAGAAATCCTGTCAACACAAAGGCAAATTCTTACTGCACACCCATAGAACAGGACTGTGTCAGAATCTCTGCTGATTTTATTTTTTCATTGAGAATTCCCTGCTATACTTTATTTTCTAATAAACCTCACCTCTTCACAGGCCTTTCTATTTCCTCTGCCACTAGAATGGCATGACACCTCACTCTAGCCCCTTCCCTCCTTTACAAGCCTTTTATCTACCAAAGCCCTCAGAACTGACCCTCCACCACCCATCTTGAGCAGGGAGAGTGGGGCAGGGCTTCTTCCTGTGCATTTAGACCCTGGAGCAGCCTCATGCTACAGCGAGTTCTGCTGGGAAACTGAGAAGAGAGGAGCCTGCAGGCGGGGTTAGGGGGAAATCACCCCAACTTTCTCCATAGAGGTCTCATATTGACCATAAGTAATGGGGCCCAGAATGGATAATTCCAGGGTCATGTAGAGTTTCAGCCTTGTATCCCTCAGCCTAGTCATGGTTTCTGTGTGCTCAGCTCAGAAACTACATGAAAAGAAAACCAAGGGGTTTGCCCTAGGGTCTGAGAGGCAGGGTGAGCACTTGCCTTCCTAGCATGATGGAGGGTGGCTCATGCAGTGCTGTGTTATTTTCTCATGTCCTGATCAAAAGCACAAAGTAATCAGGCGTGTTATATTGTATTTAATGGCATAATCTCCACAAGCCTTACATATGCTGCAGTTCAGCACATACCCCCAAGACACAGCACCAAATAAGAACCGAAGGAAAAACTTGGATGTTACCCTGGTCCTCATCTTCTCTGCTGGACTCTTCTACACAGCTGGGTTGGAGAGGTTCAGCGCCCCCACCTGCTGCCCCCCATGATGGGCTGTCCTAGTGCTGGAGCCAGTGTGAGCATGAGCAGCAGCAGGTCCCATGGCACACACACACTGTGTTAAAAGGAAGAGCAGAAGCACAAACATCATGGGCCAAGTAGCAGTCATCTTTAAATGGTAGGATAATTGAGTATTTTCAAATCTTGGCTTAGTCTTCTTTAAAACAAAAGGTTAGTGAATACGTAGGATATTTTAGTTAGAATTAAGTCTCCTCTTTGAGGAAGGGTTGCTTTTTATCTAGTACAAAAGTTGTGACATGGTGACTGACGCCTGTAACCCCAGCACTTTGGGAGGCCAAGGCGCGCAGATTACCTGAGGTTGAGAGTTCGAGACCAGACTGACCAACATGGAGAAAACCCGTTTCTCCTAAAAATACAGAATTAGCCAAGCATGGAGATGCATGCCTGTAATCCTAGCTACTCAGGAGGCTGAGACTGGAGAATCCCTTGAACCCAGGTGGCACAGGTTGTGGTGGGTCGAGATGGCACCATTATACTCCAGCCTGGGCAAGAAAAGAGAAACTCCATCTCAAAAAAAAAAAAAAAAAAGCAAGTTCTGGGAGGGACAAAAAACATAGCAGCAGGACAGGTGGATCCGGGGAGGAAATGACCTCGAGGGGATAAAGAAGGGAGGACAAGTTAGCTGAGGTCAGATTAGGAAGGAGGAGCCCTGGATGCTGCAGTGAAACACGGTGTGGTGTGCCCTGTTTGAGATGGGCTCTTTCATGTCGAAGAGGTTGGCGTAGCTAGAGGACCAAGGCTCTGTCTTCTGAGACCTTCCTGGTGCCCTCCTTCACCATTTGCCTTCCCTCTCCACCATGGAGGATAGACCGGCAGCAGCTGAGTCTGTGCTGTGAACACACCTTTCCACACACGCCAGCCCCGTGTCCACAGCTCCAAGACCACCTGAGGGATTCACTCAGTGGAGCTCATGTGCTTATAGCGACTCTGTTTCCTAGGTGACCTGGAAGACCTGGAGGAGCATCTGCCAGGGCAGACAGTCTCTGAGGAAGCCACAGGGGTTCACATGGTAAAGTCGTCTTCTTTCCTCTGAAAAGGAAATTTTATTTCTCTCGGTTTCTCTGTTTCAATTGAATTAAGATGTATACATCTCACCATGTACACTATAGGTGACTGACAGAATTTCTTGGTGGGCAAATGCCAGAGTTCATTATCAACTAAACAGTGGTTTCAGATGGCATCCACACTTACAAACTGTGTGTCAGCAGGCATTTTCCTTAAGAGAAATGCCTTCTTCTTGAGAAGAGTTTGGAATTGTCAAAGAAAAACAATTGAAAATGTTGCACAGAAATCCTGTGCCTTTCCAGGAATGTCTTCTAGATACCGGGGCCATTGTCTCAACCACTGTTTACCATCTGGCTTTTTAACGTCAACAAGTGAAGACCTGTGCACACAGGAGACAGCATGGTCTGACCCTCATGGTGTTTTCTTTTTCTCTAGATGCAGGTGGACCCAGCCACACCGGCAAAGAGTACGTATTCTGGGATCATCTCTTTGTTTAGGTTTGAAATCTTAGTGTTGTAAAGGTGGCGCTGCTTCACCTGCTTTTGCTCAAGGGCCACTCTGGTTTGAGCTTTCTGCCAGAAATGAGATTTGGGAAGTTTGGTTTAAAAACTACTAAGAGTCACACCGGGCACAGTGGCTCACGCCTGTAATTCCAGCACCTTGAGAGGCGGAGACGGGCGGATCAGCAGAGGTCAGGAGTTTGAGACCAGCCTGACTGACATTGAGAAACCCCATCTCTCCTAAAAATACAAAATTACCTGGGTGTGGTGTCACATGCCTGCAATCCCAGCTACTCAGGAGGCCGAGGCAGGAGAATCACTTGAACCCAGGTGGTAGTGGTTGCAGTGAGCCAAGGTTGTGCCATTGCACTCCAGCCTGGGCAACGAGCGAAACTCCGTCTCAAAAAAAAAAAAAAAAAAACACCCCAACAAACTAAGAGTCCAGTACTCTAACCATGCTACTGCCATCCCTGGAAGCAGCAGTGTCATGTAAGGTGGGGTGGTACATCAGAGTTGGGAGGGACAGAGGAGAGAGTCTATATGGAATGATTATGGATGTCTTTGCGAGTGTGTGTGCATTTCCCCAGAAAACATACTCCCATGTTCAAAGCACAACACGAGGATCAATGTCCAAGAAAAATTCCATCACCACTGCACAGTTTGCATAAATCAACCCATTCATCCTCCACCACAGCTGTACCTGAAGATAAGTTTAATATCCCCAGTCCTCAGATGGACATGCTGCAGAGTTGAATTTCCCAAGCTCTTGGTCTTTTAAGTGGAAGAGGCACATGTGAACTCGGGGATGAGTGGAAGGTTAATGGCATGAGCTACTACACTGAATTTGTCACAAAGCCCTGGTATAATTTCTTGCTAGGCCAAGTTATTCTAGCAATTCTGTGTGCATGTGGGAGAATGAAAAGCTATTCAGATCCCAAACACTATCGTTATCAGATGGTCTCAATGGTCAGCTATCCCAGGGTTTGTTTGAGTAGGTACATTGCACAGTGGGCTTTAGTGTGACCATTAATGTAAAACACACACACTCCTCAGGCTTTTGGTCTAGAATGGTGAAATCATTCCTCAGCTCCTTTTCAAATGCAGACAGTAATCAGTGGCATATTCTATTGTATTTAATGAAATAATCATCAGGCAGGATACCTGCCCCACACTAGTTGCAGGGGAGGTGAGAACGGACCCTGCCTCAGAGCAAGGTGAACTCAGCAAAGGGAGAGGGGCTGCTCCAGAGTCCAGGTGGTCCTTGCAACTCTCCTGTGTGATGTATAAGACATCACTTTGCCTTTTTCTCTGAGATAGTCTTGGAATTGTTAGTCCTAAACTCTGTTTTGCTTTACTCATGTGTAGACGAATCCTGGCCATGGCTGGTCACGGAGGGGAAGGACTATGTCCTCCTCGTTCCTTCTCATCCCAGAGCTTAGCCCTGGGCAGCCCATCTTGGGCCCCAGTAATGTTCCAATGCTTCCAAACCCTTTGCTGAGATCCAGCACCAGTGTGAAAAGGCTTCCTGCTCATCTCCTTCAATCTGTTGTTTCTCATGGTAATTTAGAAACCTGAGTGGATTCTGATCCAAGGTCACAGGAGAATAGGGTGGGTTCCTGAAGTCAATGAAGTGTCCCCCTCATCTCTACCCTGGCTACTTTGGTTCAGCTTTTCTCCTTGCAGAAGAGGCTGTTTTTCTGTTTACGAGTCCTCCTTTGCTGGACCAGGCTTTTTTATTTTTGTTGTGGCATCCCTGCACTTCACAGGGGGCCTGGAGCTTGTTCCTGTGCCCCTGAAGTACCCATCCATGAATGATCAGATCACAGCAGCAAACCACTCTGCCAGGAATCACCAGGGGGGAGAGTCACATCTTCCTCATCTTTGGGTTTAGACCTGTGCATTCCCGTATGGTCCTCAGTGGCATATGTGCCCATTCATGTTAAAATAAATGAAAAAATTCATAACCTCCTCACAAGAGCCATGCTAGAAGTTCCCAGTTGCCAAAAGTCTACTCTTAAGAGAGCATCTCCATTCTCCCAGAATCACCTGGGAAGCAGCTGCTGTGAGTCTGGCCCAGGTTCTGTTCTCTGCACCCACCTAACTCAGTGCATTTGCATCAAGGCTGGAATCTCAGGTTCCCAGATTGGAGGTAAGAGATGCTATGAGCCAGTGTCGGTGAACAGTTGAAAGGGATTATTTCAGGTCCTCTGTCTTACCTGAAGGCTCACAACTGTGAGCAGTGCCTTCATAAAGGCCCCTGAGTTCACAGAGCCCAGGGAGAATCACAGTGGACAGAGCAGTAGTGCTAATGTTTGTGTCTCTGTACATGGGCTCATGGGCACCACCTCTGGATCCATCCAGGAGGAAATAGACTGGTCAGGTAGGGACCAACACTCCAGGGTTGACCAGTGAGACAGGGTTCTTGGGAATTGGGTTACACTTGTTTTGGAGCCTAGGATGGGATCAGTGAAGTGACTAAATATGAAACAGGTGTAGAAGTCTGACTTGGGATTTTTTGTATCTTAATGAGAAAGTCCTAAGAGTTTTGTTCTCATGGGCTTTGTGCGAGTTGTGTATGTCACCATCATTTCTTGCTCTGGTGTCTAAAGATTACATTTTGCAGAAGACCAGATCATTCCTGCCTTTGCCACAGCAAGCACCAGAGCCCTGGGTTTTGATGAGGTAGCATTTTTTTGTGAATAGAGATCACAAGATGAGTATGCAGGTGTAAAGTTGAGTGTGGGGTGGGACACAGCCCCACACAGGCGCTACGTGATCCTGAAGACAAAGTCCTTCATACGTGTGCCAGGAGGTGAAAGGAGCCCACTGTCTTTCTCTACACTCTCGGGACCTGCAACAGCACCTTCCTGTCCTGTCCTCACTGTCTGCTCCTGCTCTAAGGGTGCTCCCTGGGTCGGATGACACAGGGAATCCTTCCTCTGGGATTCCTACGTGTGCCCCAGCATCCTGGAGTCCTGAGGGCAGAACACATGATTGAGCACAGTTTTGGCCTCCACTCTTCACCCAATCCCATCCAATCCCAAATCCCTGTGCTTTGAATGAAACCTAAATTGGCTTTCACTGGAGAGGCCCAAGTCCAGCTGTTGCTCAGGGCCCTCTGTGGCTGGCAGGAATCCTAAGGGATATGTGTGGAGGGGCTGCTGTGTTGCTGTAGGCAGTGGCTCTCACCCTCCCTGTAGCCTGGTCCCTGGAATCCACTGGGCCCAGGGCAGAGCCTCTGGGCAGCTGGCACAGTGGTCACTTGTCTTGTCACACCCTCCTCTCTGGCTCAGCAGCCTTGTCCTTCTCCCCACACTCCAGTCAGGCCCAGATTGTTCTCTGTGTCAGGTCTTCCAGGTACCTTCCCTCCTAGTCTTCCCACAGCTCAGGCAAACCCTGGGAGGGTCCCCTCATTTCTGTGCTGGCAACTGCTGGCCTCACCTGCAGATTAAGGCAACTGGGACAAGGGGCTTTACCTTGAATTCTGTTCCATTGTTTCCAAATATTCAGAAGCTGCTGGGATTCTTTTGAGGGCTGAATATTTTCCAAGTCTCTAAGGTCACTCCAGGCATAGAACAGTCACTGTATAAGTGACATCGGCCATCATCACCTCCCGCAGGCCCCAACACAACCCCAGGCCTGTGGGAGGTGCTGCTGACCCAGGGTGCGATCCGTGGGTTGATTGGAGGCCCTGGCAGTGCAGCCTTGACCTTCTTTCCAGTGTTCTTATTTTGGAGAACAGTAGGACTGGTGGAGGTCCACAGGGTGAAAGGAAATGGGATTCATGCGGGAACAGAAACAGGCCCTACAGGAGGAGAAGGGAGGGAACTCCATGTCACGCACAACGTTGTGAAGAGGGCGCTGCCTCTTGGAGGAACAGAATGACACGGCTTCCCCTCCCTTGGCTCAGTTATGGAATGTGAGGGCTGGGAAAGTACGTGGGAAGTCAGAGGTCCCTCCCTCATAGCACAGAGGAAATGATACAGGCTGTGGAGAAGGCTCCAGAAATGAGCACATCAGAGGCTCTGGGGTTGGCTCCACAGCCCCAGGACAGCAGGGTCTGAGTGGTTCTCTCGACTCTAACTCTCCCCTTTCCTTCTTATGGCCACCCCATCACCGCTGCTCCTCCGGACACTCTGATGCTTGCTTCACAGAATTGGAAGACTCCACCATTACAGGCAGCCACCAGCAGGTAATTGATCTCCTCTTATATGCTGGCTGTCTTTTATCCTCTTTCTGACTCATGAGCTCCTTTTTTAGCTCTAGTCCTTTTCCTCTTTCCCTCTCTTGTGATTGTTCTCCTGAAGGACCTGGTCTCATCCCACAGTTGAGGTCCTCGGGTCTTCAGTGTCGATAAAATCCCTCTCCAGCCCTCCTGCCCACTGCCTTGGCATTGCCCTGTTTACTGGCCCCCAGGTTGCAGCTTTGAATCTTGCTGAACAACCCTACAGGGTCCAGGGGAAGGGGCTGGGCTGGGGTCAGAAGAGCTGGACCCCACCCTGCTGGAGGGACCCCCAGTGACATCTGGGTCTGCTCTGGGCACCGCCTTCACAGATAGGTCTTTTCCTGCACTGGCGTCTCTGGACATGCACAATTGTTCTCTTCCTCACAGATGTCAGCAAGTCCTTCCTCTGCACCTGCAGAAGAAGCAACAGAAAAGACCAAAGTGGAAGAGGAAGTGTGAGTGTGCAGTGCGCAGAATGATGAGGGAAGCAGGCACGTGCCCATGTTCTTCTTGGCTACGCTCACTTTCTTGTTGTCCCATCAGGAAAACCAGAAAGCCCAAGAAGAAAACCAGGAAGCCCAGCAAGAAAAGCCGGTGGAATGTCCTGAAATGTTGGGACATTTTTAATATATTTTAGAGACCTCTGAAGGTAAGTGAAGGATGCCCTGAGAACATGCTCCAGGAAACAGACACCCACTCCATAGCAGCCCGAGCCTGCTGGGCTGAGCCCTCCACAGGCTGCTTAGTGAGGGAGACACTGAGGTGCTGGTCGCACCCCCATGTGCAGGACTCCAAGGGCTTTGCACTGTGTTGTCTGCAGTAACTCTTCAGCTCACCAACATCTCATTTGGGGGGACCTAGCTCTGTCCTCCCAGCCCCTTGAGGACAACAGGGAGCATCACTAGTTCATCCTGAGGAGACACTAGGGTTGACATGAATCCCCCTGGTTCAGGCCTCCTGGGAAAGGTGTGAGAGGGATGGAGGCACCCCCAGGCTCCTTGTCACACAAGCGAGCAGCCCACCCGACCCAGTATTGCGGGCCAGCAGGCCCTCAGTAGGTCCTGGTGTCAAGCAGGGGACACGGCAGGATCCAAGAAGCACTGAAATGTGTCCAGTCCCAGGAGTCCTTCAGCCTCTGGGGGGTCTGGGGGCCTCCAGTTCCAGGGGTCCTTCAGCCTCTGTGGGGGCCTGGGGTGACCTCATGGCCCCATTTTTCAAGATGAGGTTGGAGGCTTCTGTATGTAGAGGGCACTGGCTTGGGCCAAATGCCAACAAAACAAACCCCTGAAGACATTTCAGGGCCATGCTCACTTGGGAGGGTTTGAGGACATGATTTAGCGAGCCTCTGTTTTTTAAATATATTTTCCAATCTTGAAATAAGGTACACATATGAATGTGTGTGTGTGTGTGTGTACATATACACTGTTTTTCACTCTTTCAAATGTATGTCTTCTGTAACCCTTTTATGCTAGAATATACAAACATGAGAAATTTGTGTCTTACCAAAGCATAATTTTAAAAATTACAAAGCAAAGACAGGTCCGGTGGGGGTGCTAGAAAGACCAGGTCTTATTAGGCAATAACAATGACGTGCTCCAGGAAGCTATGCATGTTCAACGTGCAGCTCTTCTCCAGGAAGCTATGCATGTTCAACGTGCAGCTCTTCTCCAGGAAGCTATGCATGTTCAACGTGCAGCTCTTCTCCAGGAAGCTATGCATATTCAACGTGCAGCTCTTCCGTCTGGATGGCACAGAGGATCTGGGTGGCAAGGCAGGGTCACCACCCCCACCCTGTGTCATGAGACCTCCTGCTCCTCTTAGGGCCCAGGGGCATGGGACTCTGCCTGTTGATCCTGGTATGCTTGAAATTCCGTTTGTGTGTGTCTGTTTTACCCTCCGGGGAACCAGCCCCCTGAAGGTGCCCGTGTGAGCGCCCAGGTTCATTCTTCCTCCATGACACTCACACTCTCTGTGGACAGATAACCCCTCAGCAGAGAGCAGCACACAGGGCTCAGTGCCTTGACATCTGAGTAGACCTGATTGTGGGGAGCTCAGGGGCCCCAGGTCACCTTCCAGGGCCCAAGGAGGTCTCTGAGACCTGCACACCCATCCCAGGGAGCCCCTCCTCCCTCCACCTCTGTGCCTCTCTAGTGACCCTTGCACCTCTGTCTGTGTTGCAGATTCCTCGACCACCAGGAAGGGCCCCGACGTGGGGATGTCAACATGGCTCAGACTTGATGTGGATCGTGATCATTTCGGGAAATGTGTTACTCCAAAAACTTTTATAATCTTTGCTTAATTTGTTTTTAAATACTTTCCTGGCTGGGCGTGGTGGCTTATGCCTGTAATCCCAGCACTTTGGGAGGCCGAGGCGGGTGGATCACCTGAGGTCAGGAGTTCAAGACCAGCCTGGCCAACAAGGTGAAACCCCGTCTCTACTAAAAATACAAAAATTAGCTAGGCGTGGTGGCGCACTCTTGTAGTCCCAGCTATTTGGGAGGCTGAGGCAGGAGAATCACTTGAACTCAGGAGGCGGAGGTTGCGGTGAGCCGAGATCATGCCACTGCACCCCAGCACCTGGCTACAGAGTGAGACTTTGTCTCAAAAAAAAAAAAAGAACAAAAAAATTCTGACTTTAACCTCTGTTTTTCAGAGGGCACAAATTGTTCTTGTATTGTTTCCATTTTACATTTTTTTCTTGAAGTTATTTTCCAATTGTTTTCATTCTTTCTGAAGTTTTGTTTACTCAGTTTTAAGTTTTTGTAATTTTGATAGACTTTTGTGCTTTCATTTTCTTAATGACTTTTACCTCATTTTTAAAACAAATCCATAGTATGGTAAGTTACATCAATATGGAGTATTTTTATGTTTTGTGGTGATTTACATTCTGTATGTATTTTACATATATAAATGTTAATGGCCTGGTGCAGTGGCTACCACCTGTAATCTCAGCAGTTTGGGAGACCAAAGCAGGACGATTGCTTGATCCCAGGAGTTTAAGACCAGCCTGGGCAACATAGTGAGACCTCATCCCTACAAAAAAAAAAAATCCTTTAATTAGCTGGGCATGGTAGCATCCATCTGTAGCCCCAGCTACTTGGGAGGCTGAGGCAGGAGGACTGGTTGAGCCTAGGAGGTTGAGCCTCCAGTAAGCCATGACTGCACCACTGCACTCCAGCCTGGGTGACAGAGCAAGACCCTGTCTTAAAAAAGAAAAGTTTATTAACGTGAATATCAGTTAGAAATCTAGTTGTTCATTGCAAAACTAAACCAGATTATAGCAGAAATAAGCACTTGGAGGGAAATGTTACATTTTCACTGCAGGCCTTGAATCCTTAGCCACCAGCTCCGTGTCCTTCAGTGTTCTGTGGTTCCTGGTTCCAGAGAGATCACCTGCTCCAATGTAACGAGTGAAGAGTTCTTTAGGTGATGGCTGCTGGGCCCAGCTTTGCTGTTGTCTTTGCTGTCTTGTAAGCTTTGTGTCGCTCAAGTTCAGTTGTGTATGAGTGTACTAACCACTGTGAGCTTCTCCAAGCATGTGCAAGCAATTTGAGAGGAGCCTAATATTTGCAAGGAATTTGAGAGGAGCCTTTTAAGGATGTTTTATTGGCGGGGGTCAGGTGAGGGAGATAACACGGGGGCAAGAAGGAAAGTTATTAATTCATGGGAAACTACCAGCCCTTCATCACCTAACTTGTGATTTACAGACACTGAGCACATTGCAGGTTGAGAAGGTGCTTGGTCCTTTTTGTAGCCTTATGCTGTGCTCTTCAGAGACGTGAGTGTGCTGCTTTTTCTCACCATTTTGTTTCTTGTAGATTGTTTTCCTTGATGCTGGAAAACATTTTGAAGACAAGACTCTAAACAGTGACCTATGCCACACTAGTTTATTGGAAAATGAGAAACTTACATTACTGACAAGCTTGGAAGATTCTTCAGTCCTGCAGTGACCTGTGTTTCCCTGGTCTTTACCTTACCAATCTGCTTGATTCTCCTTTCTTGTGGCAGTAGTTATGATGCCAACTTTTGGGGTTCTTTGTCCTCCTCTTTTCTTCCTACCTGCCAGCATTCAAATGGCCACTTCTATTAAGTGATGGAATTCAAGAATGTATTTATTTATTAATCCTGATATTGTTTCACTCATCCCTCAGCTTAACATTTAGGGTACAAAGTAGTCACCTAGAGGTGCCACTCAATATACAGCACTGTGTTTAGAAATTGAGGGAGCCGTGAAATATTTAGCCTCTGCTCTCTGAGACCTCAGCCAGGTGCAAAGAAGAGATGCAGAACCACATTTCAGATTGTGTTGTGTACAACCAGCAGCACCAAAATGTGCCTGGGAATCATGGGGGTCAGAAATTTACCTCTGAGGCAGGTATGGCTGAAGCTTTACGAAAAGAGATGGGGCCCGTGCCAGGCCTTAGACGTGCGAGAAGGAGGGCGTGTCAGGAAGCAGAAACAGTATCAGCAAAGGCGCTGCTGGGAGGCATGTGGGCAGTGTTTGGGGAACGGCCAGGGGCTTTCTGTGTCAGGTTTACAGCATCTGTGGGAGGCTGCGTTGGTAAATAACCCCAGAGAAGTAGGCTGGGGCTACTTACATTAAAAGTATGCATGGCTTTGAAGGCCAGCTGAGTGGTATAAATAGAAACTACAAATAGTATCACATTTATTGAGGACAGCTTGTGCTGCCAAAAGAGTTTTTAAAATTTTTTTGGATTGTGTAATTGGTGGATAAAGAATTATTGACCTAAATGTATCTGATCTTAGAGTGTTTTAGTATGCTAGATTATTGGAGGTGAAATGGCTAAGTCAAAGGTGATGAGTGTTTTTGAGACTCTTAATGTTAATTGCAAAATTAACCTCTAAAAAGGTAGGCCGGGCGCACTGGCTCACGCCTGTAATCCCAGCACTTTGGGAGGCCGAGGCGGGCGGATCACGAGGTCAGGAGATTGAGACCATCCTGGCTAACACGGTGAAACCCCGTCTCTACTAAAAATACAAAAAGTTAGCCCGATGTGGTGGCAGGTGCCTGTGGTCCCAGCTACTCAGGAGGCTGAGGCAGGAGAATGGTGTGAACCCAGGAGGTGGAGCTTGCAGTGAGCCGAGATCACGCCACTGCACTCCAGCCTAGGTGACAGAGTGAGACTCCACCTCGAAAAAAAAATAAATAAATAAAAGCCAGTGCCAGCTTAGACCATGACTGAGAGCTCTTGGTTTATCTTATCCTTGCTGAGCTGGGTGTTACAACATTGAAGCCTTCTGCAGTGTCCTCCCTCCCTTTTTCTCTCTTTCTCTCTCTCTCCTCCCTTTCTTCCTTTTACTTCTCTTATGATAGGCTCGTCTGTACTTTTTTGATAGAGGTAACCATTTGCCACACCATTTTCTGAAGGGCCTGCTCTCTTCCCCATTCATTTGTGATGGCACATTTATCCTACCCTAAGCTTTGATAACGTGTCAGGATCTTTCTGTCCTGTCCTCTCAAAGAGGTTAAATATTTTTTTATAATGACTTATAATTGACTGAAGTTATAACAGTTTTCTCATGTCAAGTATAAAAACAGGCCAGGCGAGGTGGCTCACACCTGTAATCCCAGCACTTTGGTAGGCCAAGGTGGGTGGAATGCTTGAGTCCAGGAGTTTAAGACCAGCCTGGACAACATGGGACAACCCCATTTCTACAAAAAAAAATACAAAAATTATCCAGGCGAGGTGGTGCACGTGTGTAGTCCCAGTTACTCGGGAGGCTGAGGTGGGAGGATGGCTTGAATCTGGGAGGTGAAGATTGCAGTGAGCTGAGATCACACCACTGCATTCAGTCTGGATAATAGAACAAGACTCTATCTCAAAAAAAAAATTGTATACTTTATTGACTCATTTATGTCTGATGGGTATTTTTGATTACAAATTGTTTAGTCACTACTTTAAGGCCTGCTTTATTTTTTTCTTAATTTTATTGACTCATTTATGTCTTAGTCTTTTTTATTACAAATTATTTATTGTTCAGTCACTACCTTAGAGCCTGTTTTATTTTTTCTTAATTTTATTAAAGGATGATATTGATGATGAAATGTCTTACGATGATCATTTAGAGGTTTATTTTGAACAACTGGCAATTCCACGAATGATGGAATAAAACATATGAAGTAGAAGGACTGGAACCTCCAGAAAAAGTACTTTAAGTTACCTACAGGTGATCCTAGTCAGGTATGTTACAGTCTTAATGGCTTTTCAGAAATTTGACAGAAAATCACTGTTGATCTCACTGGATGTTTACATGAATTTTAAGCCTTTGGTTTTCTTTTAACTCTGTTTTTTACAGGTATGAATTGATAAGAAATGCCTGCACCTTCCCTCCTTCCTATCTTTCCCTTGCCTACAGAAAATTAAAAGGCAAAACAATGGACATCTACATATTCTTCATTCAGATCAACCAGTGGCTAGCATTTGCCACCTTTTGCAGTTTCTTTCTCTTTCCATAAGTACTTTCTTCTCTGAATCATTTGAAAGTAAGTTGAAAAGAGCATGATGTTTTACCCCAACACTTCAGCGTTTATCTCTTGTGAATAATGACATATTTCTATGTAATTACAGTTCTACCATCTAACTATAATACAGTAATTTGATGTACAGCCCATATTCAGATTTACCTAATTGTCTCCAAAATGTTCTTTATTTTTGTTTTAGATCCACAGTTTAATCAAAGATTAACCTTGCCTTTGGTTGTCACGTCTCTCTATTCTTTTACTTTGGAGTAGTTCTTTCAATACATGAAACATTTTGAAAAATCTAGGCTCTTTGTTTTGTAGAGTGACCCATAATCTAGATATATCTGGTTGCTTTTTTCTTCTCCTGACTAGAATAGATTGAGCATTTTGGCAAGAATACAGATTAAACAGTGTTCTCATGAGTGGATCCAGATTAAACAGGGAATAATGCCTAATTCAGATTAGGCAGTGTTGCGTACTTACCGCCTCACACCAGGAGATGTTTGCGTCTGTTTGTCCCACGATTGCTGATGCTATGTTTAATAATTTTGGTTGAGGTAGTGTCAACTGGACATCTCCTTGTGAGGGTAGCTTTTCCCTTTTGTTATTAGTCATCTGTGGGATGAGACATCAAAGCACTGTGAACATCTTATTCCCCGGCAACCTTCACGAGCTGGTTTCAGCGTCATTGCTGAAGCCTCTTGGAAACATTGATTACACCCGTGGTTCCAATGGTGATTTTTCTCATTCCTTTTACATTGATTACCTGCCTCCTTGAGTAAGGTAGATGTTGTCTACTCCCCATGTTTTCCCTTCAAAATGTTTAATTTTAATTTAAATGATTAATACAGCTAAGTTATTCTTTCAACAGGCAAATGAAAACAGTAGCCTAAAGTGTCAGTTTCAACCAGAAAATAACAGCTCTGATTTCTCATGGCTCACACTCTTCTGAAACGACTCGGGTAGAGGCTGAGGAAGGCCGTGTTGTTTGTCTACCTGGGACTAGTAAGTATAGAAATAGAATTCCTTTGTTCTTAAATTCTACCTTTGACTTTACTTTTAAAATATAATTTCTTTGGTACGATTTAGCTCATGCCTGTAATCCTAGCATTTTGGGAGGCCAAAGAGGGAGAATTGCTTGAGCCCAGGAGTTTGAGACCAGCCTAGACATCATAGGGAGACTCTGCGCACGCACACACACACACACACGCGCACGCTAACCGGGAATGGTGGCATGCGACTGTGGCCCCAGCTACCTGGGAGGCTGAGGTTGGAGGATCATTTGGACCCAGGAGGTGAAGACTGCAGTGAACCATGATTGCACCACTGCACTCCAGCCTGGGTGACAGAGCAAGACCCTGTTTCACAAAAGAAAAAGAAGAAGAGATCATCTATTAGTGTTCTTGATTTTTGTTAAAATGTGATACGTGATAGTTGATAAGCTTTAGGCATATGTCAATCTGTGGCCATTTAATTTTGGGCTAAGGACTTGTTCTATTATAGCACAGTAATCATTTTACTAAATAGTGACTATTTGTCATGAAAAACAGTATATTTAGTTTTAATACAGTTGAGTACTCACAAATTTCTGGGGGAACTTCGTCAGGACATTTCAACTGAGAATTGTCAGGCACCTTCTCACTGATAGGCATGCTGCTCGGTGGTGCAGCTCATAAGCAGACAACCCCCTTCATGTAATTTAGTAGGAAAATGACAGAAATACTTGTGTAACTATAAAGTAAAGCAGAATTCTGGTTATTGAATCACAGCACCTACTGAAAGAAGTTCTCAAGTTCTGACTGAGTTCTAAAATTTTTTGAAGATTAGAATTCTTCATATGTAAGTAAAAACAATTTCTGATGACCCATTTCTAGTCCATCTTCTAAAGAAGTATTTAATCTGGGCCACGCATGGCGGCTCACGCCTGTCATCCCAGCACTTTGGGAGGCCGAGGCAGGTGGATCACGAGGTCAGGAGATCAAGACCATCCTGGCTAACACGGTGAAACCCTGTTTCTATTAAAAATACAAAAAAGGCCGAGCGTGGTGGCTCACACCTGTAATCCCAGCACTTTGGGAGGCTGAGGTGGGCAGATCACGAGGTCAGGAGATCGAGACCACGGTGAAACCCCGTCTCTACTAAAAATACAAAAAATTAGCCAGGCATGGTTGTGGGCTCCTGTAGTCCCAGGTACTCGGGAGGCTGAGGCAGGAGAATGGCGTGAACCCGGGAGGTGGAGCTTGCAGTGAGCTGAGATCGCACCACTGCACTCCAGCCTGGGTGACAGAGTGAGACTCTGTCTCAAAAAAAAAAAAAAAAAAAATAGGTCTCACTGCACCTTTGCAGTAATTATATGAAGGGGTAGCCTGCCCATCCATACCTGTGGGTATATCTTGTCAGGTGGGATGAGAGACTGAGAAAAGAAATAAGACACGGAGACAAAGTACAGAGAAAGAACAGCGGGCCCAGGAGACCGGCACTCAGCATACGGAGGACCAGCACTGGCACCGGCCTCTGAGTTCCCTCAGTTTATTGATTACCATTTTCAGTGTCTCAGCAAGAGGAATGCGGTAGGAGAGCAGGGTGTCAGCAAGAAAACCTGTGAGCCTTTCCTTTCGCTGCTGCGGCCGCAGCCATGAGCATGCTCGGGCCTCAGAAGAGGCTCGCCTCTAGTGTCCTCCGCTGTGGCAAGAAGAAGGTCTGGTTAGACCCCAGTGAGACCAATGAAATCGCCAATGCCAACTCCCGTCAGCAGATCCGGAAGCTCATCAAAGACGGGCTGATCATCCGCAAGCCTGTGACGGTCCATTCCCGGGCTCGATGCCGGAAAAACACCTTGGCCCGCCGGAAGGGCAGGCACGTGGCCATAGGTGAGCAGAAGGGTACAGCCAATGCCCGAATGCCAGAGAAGGTCACATGGATGAGGAGAATGACGATTTTGCGCCGGCTGCTCAGAAGATACCGTGAATCTAAGAAGATCGATCGCCACACGTATCACAGCCTGTACCTGAAGGTGAAGGGGAATGTGTTCAAAGACAAGCGGATTCTCATGGAACACATCCACAAGCTGAAGGCAGACAAGGCCCGCAAGAAGCTCCTGGCTGACCAGGCTGAGGCCCGCAGGTCTAAGACCAAGGAAGCAGGCAAGTGCCCTGAAGAGCGCCTCCAGGCCAAGAAGGAGGAGTTCATCAAGACTTTATCCAAGGAGGAAGAGACCAAGAAATAAAAGCTCCCCCTTTGTCTGTACATACTGGCCTCTGTGATTACATAGATCAGCCATGAAAATAAAACAAGCCTTAAAAAAAAAAAACATGTGAGCAAAGGAATCTGTGTCACAAATAAGTTCAAGGGACGGTACTATGCCTGGATGTGCACGTAGGCCAGATTTATGTTCCTCTCCACCCAAACATCTCAGTGGAGTAAAGAATAATAAAGCAGCATTGCTGCCAACATGTCTCACCTCCCGCCACAGGGCGGTTTTTCTCCTATCTCAAAACTGAACAAATGTACAATCAGGTTTTATACCGAGACATTCAGTTCCCAGGGGCAGGCAGGAGACAGTGGCCTTCCTCTATCTCAACTGCAAGAGGCTTTCCTCTTTTACTAATCCTCCTCAGCACAGACCCTCCACAGATGTCGGGCTGGGGGACGGTCAGGTCTTTCCCATCCCATGAGGCCATATTTCAGATTTTCACATAGGGAGAAACCTTGGACAATACCCGGCTTCCCAGGGCAGAGTTCCCTGTGGCTTTCCGCAGTGCATTGTGCCCCTGGTTTATTGAGACTGGAGAATGGCGATAACTCTTACCAAGCATACTGCTTGGAAACATGTTGTTAACAAGGCACATCCTGCATAGCCCTAGATCCCTTTAACCTTGATTCCATACAACACATGTTTCTGTGAGCTCAAGGTTGAGGCAAAGTTACAGATTAGCAGCATCACAGGGCAAAGCAATTGTTCAGGGTACGGGTTAACATGGAGTTTCTTATGTCTTCCCTTTCTACATAGACACAGTAACAGTCTGATCTCTCTTTCTTTTCCCTACAATTATAGTCCATTGTGTACATGAAAACAAGGCCTTCTGAAAACATGTATTATTGGTCAGAGGCAGCAGCAGTGAGAAGCCAGTGTGTCGTATTGTCCAACACACACTTCCCACACAGCCCTGCCATGCTCACTCATGACTTTCTGACAAACTGCTTTGTTGCTAGGAAGCCCTTAATTTTCCTCTGTGCTCTCCAAGAGAAAGAGGGCCTCCCCATGAGTTAACAGCTGGAGGAAAATGAAAAAGTAAGCTTTTCCTTAGCATTGGAAAACCTTTTTTTTTTAACTTTTATTTTAGGTTCAGGGGTGCGTGTACAGGTTTATCATACAGGTAAACTTGTGTCATGGGGGTTCATTATACAGATTATTTCATCACCCAGGTACTGAGCCCAGCCCCCAATAGTTATTTCTTCTGCTCCTCTCCCTCCTCCCACCCTCCACCCTAAAGTAGGCTCCAGTGTCTGTTGTTCCTTTCTTTGTGTCCACGTGTTCTCGTCATTTAGCTCCCACTTATATGTGAGAATGTGCAGTATTTGCTTTTCTGTTCCTGAGTTAGTTCACTTAGGATAGTGGTCTCCAGGTCTGTCCATGTTTCTGAATAAGATGTGATCTCCTTCTTTTTTATGGCCGCATAGTATTCCACGGAGCATATGAACTACGTTTTCTTGATCCGGTCAGTTATTATGGGCATTTAGGTTGATTCCCTGCTGCTGCAGAAGCCAGCCTTCTGTGTATCACCGCATGGTCCCGTGACACAGGAAAATGCATGTCTCTGGGATAGGATGACTGTTTCTCATCCCACATGGTAAGGAGTTTCCAAAGTTCGCGAGCGTTTATTCAGCACCTGCTGTGAGCTATGCCGATGGTGCCACGGGACAGGTGGTGGGGGACACAGCCTGCAGTAACAGAGAACACCCTTCCCTCAAGAGCCTGCGTTCTCCTTGGGGGAGACAGACAATGAGCCAAGTCCTGGAGCTGCCTGCATGGGGAGTGAGCGAGGAGGAATTGCAGTGAGGGGCAGGCAGCGGGGGAGAGCTTCACGCCCACCGCCCCGCTGGGTCCACACTGTTGTGCTGCCCTCCCTTGGAGGGTCGAATTAGGGCCATGTCAACTTCCTGGGTAGTTCAGATCTAGTTGGGATTCTGGCTTGACAAGACCTTTTCCTGTTTCTCAAGGGGCCCTGGATTGTTCAACTGGGAAGGGAAGCTGTAAGAATCGCCTAGTCCAGGTGATTCAAAGTGTACCTTTGGAGTCTCTTTTGGGGCCATGAAGCGGGGCTGGGGGAAGCCAGGGGTTCTGGGGATTCTACCTTAACTCACCTGTTAACTGGTGAAAGACACCTTCTGACCAAAGATCACAAGATGAAAACCTGGAAAAGCCTCAAGAGAGTCTACATTACCTGGAAGGACTCTGAGGCCTAGAGAGAAAGAACTTGCATAACTGATGCCAGCTGACTTGCCCTCCAGGGCTCTCAGCCCGCTGCCGTGAGCTTTGTCTTGTGGCTTTTGTATCTCCAATGTCAAGTGGCCCAGGGAAAACAGGCACCTGCTCTGTGGATGAGAGGTGTGGCCTGGTGATGTTGCCAGAGAGGGCATATCTGTTTCCTGGGGGTGGAATAAAATGAATTCTCCCAGGTCTTACACCTGCTATAAGATGCTTCTGGTCAATGGGTATTTGGAATACTGCCACGTTAGTTAGCGGGGAGGCATCTGGGATCTTTGATTCTGTGCCACAAAGCAGTTCCCTTTACTATGTCAGAACCCCCCTTACCTTTTGAGCTCACCCGGCCCTGCCACCTGGTATTCCATAACCTTCTCTCAAAGGCAACAGAAAGACCACAAGATACTGTAGACAATCCATTGGTGTGATTAAATATTTTGGAGATCTCTTGGCATTTGCTTCCTGGCAACTGTGGGGTAACGTTCTCTACACCAAATGTCTCAAACTCAACTGTCTACAAGAGCCAAGTAAGTGCCCTAATGAATGAAGTCGGCCAGGCAGGAACTGAGAATTACAGAAGGGAGGCGTCCACCATCACCCTTGCTTGGAATGCAGCCCTCCAAGACCTGGTCTTCCTTTTTTTTTTTTTTTTTGAGATGGAATCTTGCCCTGTCGCCCAGACTGGAGTGCAGTGGCGTGATCTTGGCTCACTGCAACCTCCACCACCCGGGTTCAAGCAATTCTCCTGCCTCAGCCTCCCGAGTAGCTGGGATTATGGGTGCATGCCACCACTCCCAGCTAACTTTGTATCTTTAGTAGAGACAGGGTTTCATCATGTTGGCCAGGCTGGTCTTTAACTCCTGACCTCATGATCCGCCTGCCTTGGCCTCCCAAAGTGTTGGGATTAAAGGTGTGAACCACCACGCCTGGCCAGGAGAACATCTTGAACCTGAGAGGCAGAGGTTGCAGCGAGCCAAGATCGCGCCACTACACTCCAGCCTGGGCAGCAGAGCAAGACTCTGTCTCTAAATAACTAAATAAATAAACATATCAAAGAAGCAATCAAAAGTAGGAATAAGAAGAGACTATCAAATATGAGAAGCAACCAGGTAGATTTCCTTCATCCTCCTATTGGACTGCCAGCTGGGGCTTCCACTTTAGAATGTTAACCAAAATATGCATGGACCTGTTGAACCTGCTTTTTTTTTTTTTCTTTGGGACGGAGTCTTGCTCTGTTGCCCAGGCTGGAGTGCAATGGTGTGACCTTGGCTCACTGCAACCTCCGCCTCCCAGGTTCAAGCGATTCTCCTGCCTAAGGCTCCCAAGTAGCTGGGATTACAGGCGCCCGCCACCAGGCCCGGCTAATTTTTGTATTTTCAGTAGAGACAGGGTTTCACCATGTTGGCCAGCCTGGTCTTGAACTCCTGACCTTAGAACCTGCTTTATTTTTATCATTCTATTTGGATTTCCTTTTGAACGCTTCCTTAACTCCCTTACCATTTGCTAAAATTGGGTAGGTGCTTTATGGTGATGTCCCAACATAATTTTAAGTCTCTTATTGCTTGAACCCGGGACACGGAGGTTGCAGTGAGCCAAGATCATGCCACTACAGCCTGGATGACAGAGTAAAACTCCATCTCAAAAAAAAAAAAGAAGGTCTCTTAAAAGGATAAAGGACATGCTACCTGGTAGAAGTAAACTTAGAAATACTGTCCTCTAAATGCTCGTGTTGTTTAGAGAATTAAAATATTTGGCTTAGCAGCTTGGGTTTCTAAAATGACTTCTCAAAATATTGCATTTACTAAATCTTCTTTCCTGTCCACTCATTGACTTAATTTCTGTCCTTATATGCTGTGTCTAGGACATTTAGATATAGGAGGTAAATTCTAGCACATTTTGGGAACACTGTGAATAGAGGAGCTGATAAACACATGGAGTGAAACGGGCCAAGAATTGCTGTGAATATTAAAGATAAATAAAGGCCAGTAACAGGAAAAAGAAAGGGACACACAATTCATTGATCAGATTCATAGTTATAAAAAAATGCTCTCGCTTAAAGATTATCCCATTTCTGGGAAAATGGTTATTGCTGTCTCTCTGCTCTATTTTCTACATTATCATAGCGTAAAATGAATTTTTAGGGGATGTTTACAGTTCAATGCATCTTAACAAGTGTATAGATTCATGCAACCACCACCACAAACAGGACACAGCACAGTTCCATCACCCCAAAATCTCCCTCATGCTGCCCTCCACAGTCACCCCCCACCCACCCCCACCTCCTAGCAACCACTGATCTGTTCTCCATCACTACAGTTTTGTCTTTTCAAGAATGTCATATAAATGGAATCACACAGAGTTTATAACATTTTGATATTTGGCATCTTTCTCTCTTTCTTTTTTTTTTTTTTTTTTTGACAGAGTTTTCACTATTGTTGCCCAGGCTGGAGTGCAATGGCGTGATCTCAGTTCACAGCAACATCCGCCTCCCTGGTTCAAGTGATTCTGCTGCCTCAGACTCCCGAGTAGCTGGGATTACAGGCATGTGCCACCATGCCCAGCTAATTTTGTATTTTTAGTAGAGACAGGGTTTCTCCATATTGGTCAGGCTGGTCTCAAACTCCCGACCTCAGATGATCTGCCTGCCTTGGCCTCCCAAAGTGCTGGGATTATAGGAATGAACCACTGCACCCAGACTATCTTCCTTATCTTTCAGGGCAATGCCTGATGTCATACACAAGCCAGCTCCTTCAGCTCCTTCTTACTGTCTAGATTGCCATCCGTCTTTAGCGTGATTACAGAGCATGTCTGATTGCAGTGGCAAGCATTAGGACTCACTCAGAGCCTTGTGGCTTTTCTCTTTTTTTTTTTGAGACAGAGTCTCGCTCTGTCAGCCAAGCTGGAGTGCAGTGGCGCAATCTCGGCTCACTGCAACCTCCATCTCCTGGGCTCAAGTGATTCTCCTGCCTCAGCCTCCCAAGTAGCTGGGATTACAGGCGTGTGCCACCACACCCGGCTAATTTTTGTATTTTTAGTAGAGACAGGGACTCACCATGTTGGCCAGGCTGGTCTCGAACTCCTGACCTCAGGTAATCCGCCCGCCTCGGCCTCCCAAAGTGCTGGGATTACAGACATGAGCCACCGTGCCCGGCCACCTTGTGGCTTTTCTTCTCCATGTTGAGAAGCCGTGTACCGGCCTTGACAGTGAGACTGGTGGTGGCCTGGGGAAGAGTTGGCATGTGGATAATGTGTGGTTCAGTCTGAAGCTCCTCAGCTAATGTCCCAGCTGCCTCAAGTGGTGATCAGGACAGCCTAAACTTTTAATATTTATTTATTTATTATTATTATCATTTGAGACAGGGTCTTGTTCTGTCGGCCAGGCTGGAGTGCAGTGGCACAATCGCAGCTCACTGCAACCTCTGCCTCCTAGGTTCAAGCGATTCTCCCACTTCAGCCTCCCAAGTAGCTGGGATTACAGGTGTCTGCCACCACCACACCCGGCTAATTTTTGCATTTTTGGTAGAGATGGAGTTTTGCCATGTTGGCCAGGCTGGTCTCAAACTCCTGACCTCAGGTGATTTACCCACCTTGGCCTCCCAAAGTGCTGGGATTACAGGTGTGAGCCACCGCGCCTGGCCTAAATATTTATTTATAACACTTGTTTGAATTCTTTTTGTACTTAACGCTGGCTCCATTGTGTGCAACACTGCCATCTGCCGTTAGGATTTGTGTCTGAGAACCTGGGCCCACAGTCTCGCTGCGGATGCAGAACTGGCAGAAAAGCCTACTGCACTTCCCCTGTGTGGTTAAACGACGGTGAACAAGTCCAAGGCGGAAAGAATAACCAAGTATATGCCTTAAGATCCTTTCTTGGAGGTCCCCAGGTGAAATACTAATCAGATCCTTCAGCATTTCCTCCTGTCCAAAAGGATCCTGCTGTATTCCTGTTTCTTTGTCATGAACCGATCACGGCTTTTCAATGATGCATTATCTCATTTCGACAAAATATCTGAGAGCTGGCTGGGGCACGGTGGCTCATGCCTGTAATGCCATCTCTTTGGGAGGCCGTAGAGGGAGGATTGCTGGAGACCCAGAGTTCAAGACCAGCCTGGGCAACAAAAGTGAGACCCCGTCTCTACAAAAAATATAAAAATTAGGAGGTCAAGGCAGGTGGATCACTTGAAGTCAAGAATTCAAGTTCAGCCTGGCCTACATGGAGAAACCCTGTCTCTACTAAAAATACAAAAATTAGCTGGGCATGGTGGTGCACGCCTGTAATTCCAGCTACTCGGGAGGCCGAGGCATGAGAATCACTTGAACCTGGGAGGTGGAGGTTGCAGTGAGCCATGGTTATGCCACTGCACTCCAACCTGGGTGACAGAGGCCCTGTTAAGAAAGAAGAAACAAGAAAGAGAGAGAGAGAGAGAGAGAGAAAGGAAGGAAAGAGAAGGAGAGAGATAAAGAAAAGAAGGAACAGAAGTCGAAGGAAGGAAGACACAGATAAGAGCAGCAAAATAAGAGAAGAAAAAGAAGCAGTAGAGAATCAAAAGAGCCAAAAATGGTTTCTTTGAAAAGACTAATAAAATCGACACATTTGTTAGCAACACTAATCAAAGGAGGAAGAAAGAGAACGCAATGTAAAGCTAAGATGAAAAGGGAGTACATTTCTGATTTGAACATGGCGAATTAAAGACAGGATTTCCCTCTTTTCTTTATAGGAAACAATCATAACAAGAATAAGAAGCAAGCCGGGTGCGGTGGCTCATGCCTGTAATTCCAGCACTTTGGGAGGCCGAGCTGGGAGGATCACTTGAGCCCAGGAGTTTGAGACCAACCTGGGTAACATAATGAGACCTTACAAAAAAAAATAAAATTAAATTTCAAAAACATAATTAGATACCAGTGTATCCCCAGCAGATTGACACAAATTAAAAGTCAACAGTATCCTGTGTTGGTGAAGACATACAGCAACTGGAAGTCTCCTGTGCATGTTAGCCATGTTTATACCTTTCATCTCAGCAGTTTCACTCTTAACGATATATGCTAGAGAAACTCTTACTCATGTGCTCCACAGACAGGTAGGAGGGCCCAAGGTAACCTTGTTTGTAATTAAGAAAAAATAAAAACAGGAAACAAGCCAAGTGTCCAATGGGATAATGGATTAGTAAATTGTGATACACAATGAAACTGCATATGTGCGCACATCAACATGAACGAACCCTCCAAACATAATGTTGAGGAAAAAACAAGCAAATCACAGAATACAAAAAATATATAATACCTTTGTATAAAGTTCAAAAACAAGCAAAACTAACCAATATATTCTTCAACAATATGTGCATGCATACGTAAATGTGGTAAACATGAAGAAAAGCAAGGAAGCGATAAAAGCTGAGAGCAGATTACTAGGGGGATAAGGAGGGAGAGGATGCATTTGGGAGGGGCTCACAGTGGCTTCAAAGATATACTTAGCATTCTATTTCTTCTTCTTCTTTTTTTTTTTTTTTTTTTTTTTTTTTTACCAGAGAAGGTGTTGCTCCATTGCCCAGGTTGCGATCATAGCTCATTGCAGCCTTGACCTCCTGGGCTCAAGCAATCCTCCCACCTCAGCCTCCTGAGTAGCTGGGACCACAGGCATGCACCAACATACCCAGCTAATTTTTTTTTTTTTTTTGAGACGGGGTCTTGCTCAGTCGCCCAGGCTGGAATGCAGTGGCATGATCTCAGCTCACTGCAACCTCCGCCTCCCGGGTTCACGCCGTTCTCCTGCCTCAGCCTCCCGAGTAGCTAGGACTACAGACGCCCGCCACCACACCCGGCTAATTTTTTTTTTTTGTATTTTTAGTAGAGACGGGGTTTCACCATGTTAGCCAGGGTGGTCTCAATCTCCTAACCTCGTGATCCGCCCACCTCAGCCTCCCAAAGTGCTGGGATTACAGGCGTGAGCCACCACGCCCGGCTTAATTTTTAAATTTTTTGTAGAGACAGGATCTCACTATGTTGCCCAGGCTGGTCTCATATCTGTGGGCTCGAGCGATTCTCCTGCCTGGCCTCCCAAAGTGCTGGGATTCCAGGAGTGAGCCACTGTGCCCGGCCAGCATTCTATTTCTTAAGCAGCCTATTGGGTGCATAAGGGCTCATTTCATTATTTTGCACACCTTATATATGCACGTATAAATATATATGCTTCTTACATATGGAAAATAAAATCTCATGAGAAAAAAATCTAATCTAAACCAAAAGAGGACTGTGTGTATCTGCAGCAGTTATGAAAAATAAAAATGCTTTCTCGTTGATGCTCCAGGAGAGCTGGGGAGCACACGAGTTGTCAGTGCCTGTCGTCTGCACATCATCATACGTAGCCCCCTTTGGATCTCAGAAGTTCCCCAGATGGGACCCACCAGCAAGAGGGCCCTGTGTTGTTGGAGGTGGCAGCTACCTCTGTGGCTTGTCCCAGGGTCACCAGAAATTCTGGAGAGAAATAGATGTGGTCCGTGAGATGAAATAAGTGAAACCTTCACTTCTGCTTATTTGGAAAGCCTCCCTCAGACTTAGTTTCTTCGTCTGAAAAATGGGCGTAATTACTACCTGATGGGGTTATTGTGAGAATCACATGAGCCAATCTATGCTCAGGGTGCAAAGCATGGAACTCCTCTTGCCTTCTGAAATTATGTGAGAAGATCTCCAGCACCACTCCTTCATCCCGAGACTCTCCCAGCCTTGCACAGTCCAGAGAAGGTCACTGCAGATTAAAATAGACCTAAAAGACACATCTACCAAATGCAGCGTGTGGACTTTAGGTGGATTCTGACTGAAACCCACCAATCCCGCTTGATCCGTGGTTCCACTTTCCACCATTGCAGTTGTCTGTGGTACAATTCAATAAGATAGTCTTAGGGAGATAGACCACATTCACATAACTTTTATTACAGTGCATTATCAATTATTGTTGTTAAACTCTTACTGTGCCTCATTTATAATTACACTTTATTATAGGTGTGTATGTATAGGAAAAAATATAGTATACAAGGGCTCGGCATTATCTGTGGTTTCACGGCATCCACAGGATCTCGGAACATACACCCCGCAGATAAGGGGGTACAGCTATATAAAAATGTATTCTTGAGAAAATCAGGAAAAGGCAAATAAGGATTGGGCATTAAAAGATGCCAAAGTGGCTGGGCGCACTGGCTCAAGCCTGTAATCCCAGCACTTTGGGAGGCCTAGGCAGGTGGATCACCTGAGGTCAGGAGTTTGAAACCAGCCAGGCCAACATGGTGAAATCCCATCTCTACTAAAAATGCAAAAATTAGCCGGGCATGGTTGCGAGTGCCTGTAATCCTAGTTACTAGGGAGGCTGAGGCAGGAGAATCACTTGAGCCCAGGAGACGGAGGTTGCAGTGAGCCGAGATCATGCCACTGCACTCCAGCTTGGCCAACAGAGCGAGACTCTGTCTCAAAAAAAAAAGATGCCAAAGATGCCAAAGTGTGATAGTGCAATTGGGTTTTTAAAAAATTCTTATCCTCCTGGTGACATGCGCCTGTAGTCCCAGCTGAGGTGGAAAGACTGCTTGAGGCCAGGAGTTCAAGACCAGCCTGGGCAACATAGCAAGACCATATATACACACAAAAAATTAGCCAGGCATGCTGGTGTGTGCCTGTAGTCTTAGCTACTTGGGAGGCTGAATCAGGGAGATCACTTGAGCCCAGGAGTTTGAGGCTGCAGTGAGCCAAGCTCACACTACCGCACTCCAGCCTGGGCAACAGAGTGAGACCTCATCTCTTAAGAAGAAAATTTTAGCCTTTAGAGATACAGCCTAAAGTATTTATGGGTAAAATACTATAATGTCTGAGGTTTGCTTTTAAATAATCTGATCGTGTGAGTGGATGTGAGTGCATAAAGATGAAAAAAGAGGCCAGGCGCAGTGACTCATATCTGTAATGCCAGCACTTTGGGAGGCTAAAGCGGGCAGATTGCTTGAACCCAGAAGTTCGAGACCAGCCTGAGCAACATAGTGAGACCTCGTCTCTACAACTAAAAAAAGAACTTAAAAAAAAGAAAAAAGGTGAAACAGGCCGGGTGCGGTGGCTCATGCCTGTAATCCCAGCACTTTGGGAGGCCAAGGTGGGTGTATCGCTTGAGGTCAGGAGTTCGAGACCAGCCTGGTCAACATGGTGAAACCCCATCTCTACTAAAAATGCAAAAATTAGCCAGGCGTGGTGGCGGGTGCCTGTAATCCCCGCTACTCCAGAGGCTGAGGCACGAGAATCGCTTGAACCAGGTAGGCGGAGGTTGCAGTGAACTGAGATCATGCCACTGCACTCCAGCCTGGGTGACAGAGTGAGACTCCATCTCAAAAAAAAAAAAAAAAAAAGGTGAAACAAGTGGTCCTGAGATGCTCACTGTAGGTAACTGATAGCTGCCTGATAGGTACAAGAGAGTTTATTGCTCTCTTCGTTCTTCTTTGATGTATGTGTGAAATGCTTTGTGGAAGGAGGGAAGGAGGATGGGAGAGAAGCAGGGAGGAAGGAAAGCACTCTGAACATTTCCTGTTGTGTAGGTAAGAACTCCAGCGCATCTCAGACCACCAGAGCTCGGGCCACCAAGCTCTGCTACTAAGGGCTGCCCTCCTGCTTGCAGTGACACCACTAGCAGCGTAAGCTTCCAGAAGAGGATGGTTCCACACACAGTGCCAGCTTCACCAGTCCTTCTGGGCACAAACACACCCAAGGGATTCCTGCTTCGAGAATGCAGGGTCTGAGTGGGCTCCAGCATCTCTCCCTGTAGATTCCATGGCCCTTGTCCTCTCCAGGCCCAGGAAATCCAGCACAAGACGTACAGCCACCTTCCTTTTTCAACCTCCTGAAATACCAGAGCAGCTCCCCTTCAAATCATCCCACCCCTTCAGAAGGGGCTCAGATCTGGGAGGAAAAGGGCTCCCAGTGTGGGGCACTGTCACCCTCCACAGGCCACAGAGGACCCTCCTGGGATGGGGAAAGAGATGGGTGGGCTGGGTGGGGAGACTGTTTTCTGGTCACACCTGTTGCTCCCCATTCTACCTCCCCCCACTTGAATACAGACAAGGAGACCTCTTGCTAGAAAAGTGACATCATGGCAGGGCATGGTGGGTCACACCTGTAATCCCAGCACTTTGGGAGGCCAAGGCGGGCAGATCACTTGAGGTCAGGAGTTCAAGACCAGCCTAGCCAACATGGCGAAACCCCATCTCCACTAAAAATACAAAAATTAGACTGGCGTGGTGGCGTGCACCTGTAATCCCAGCTAGTCAGGAGGCTGAGGCACAAGAATCGCTTGAACCCGGGAGGCGGAGGTTGCAGTGAGCTGAGATTGTGCCACTGCACTCCAGCTTGGCTGACAGAGCGAGACTCTGTTTCAAAAAAAAAAAAAAGTGACTGTAAAAGTTACATGCCCATAAATCTCCATGCTACAAGCCAGGGAAACAGCAAGAGGCCATGTGCAGATGGGAGTGGCCCCTTCCCACTCCCAAGATCAAGAGCTCCTTATGCATCCACCAGCTTGTAATCACTTGCTTCTTCTCACAGACGTTCCTGAGAGGAGACTTCCCACCAGCCTGACATATTGTCGGGGAGAAAGTCACTTCCCAACCTTGCTTTAGGCCAGTGTTTACTGAGAGACAGGCATGTGCCTCAGAAGGGAGAAAACTTCCTCCCAAAACATGTTAGTATATAAGTATCTTCCAGCCAATTTCTTTCCTTTGAAAAAACCTTACTGGCCAAAATTTTTCAAAATAAAAAAATTGGGGAGAGGAAGATTCTAAGACAGTGGAGTAGCAAGTTCCAGAAATCTGTCTCTTCACCTAGACAACAATTGCGCCGGCAGAATCTGTCTGATGTGACTATTTTGGCACTCTGGAGTCTATTGACGGCTTCCAACTGTGGCTAATTTGGGTCAATTTCAGCTCTCAGCAGGCAGCAGCCACCCATCTCCCATCCCATGCCCCTGGCAGGCAGCTGTGCACATGTTCCTGGAGCAGCTTGCAGACAGCTGGTGGGTGGGAGCCGGGTGAACAAAAAGGACCCTGTCCTCCAAATACGGGAGGTCTGTGCTCTGCTCACTGATTGCTGCTTCTGATCACTGAGGTGCAAAGAGGTGGTGGTTATTGTGGTTGCACCTGCCCCCAATGTTACAAGCCCTTCCCCCTCTGACTGAAGTGACTTCCAGAGGATTTAAGGACTGTGGGCCTGCCCCCACCTGGTTCACATTTCTCTTTCTCCCCTCTTGGGAGGCAGACATTGAAGACCAGAACATTCTAAAGCAACTGCATATATTGGGGAAATTAGAGAGTCACCATGTGTGCCCCAGGGAAGACGCACGTTCAGAGAAGACTTGAGAAAACCTTAAGTTTATAGCTCTGGCTGATCATTGGCACAGAGACAGACTACAAAGATTAATTTAAAAAAAAAAAAAGTCTGGCCGGGTGTGGTGGCTCACACCCATAATCCCAGCACTTTAGGAGGCCAAGATGGGTCGATCACCTGAGATCAGGAGTTTGAGACCAGCCTAGCCAATATGGTGAAACCCTGTCTTCTACTAAAAGTACAAAACTTGGCTGTGCATGGTGGTTCACGCCTGTAATCCCAGCACTTTGGGAGGCTGAGGCTGGTGGATCGCCTGAGGCCAGGAGTTCAAGACCAGCCTGGCTAATGTGGCGAAACCCCATCTCTACTAAAATTTAAAAAATTAGCTGGGCATGGTAGCACGTGCCTGTAATCCCAGCTACTTGGGAAGCTGAGACAGGAAAATTGCTTGAACCCAGGAGGCAGAGGTTGCAGTGAGCTGAGATCATGCCACTGCACTCTAGCCTGAGCGACAGAGGAAGACTCCATCTCCAAAAAAAAAAAAAAAATTATCCAGGCATGGTGGTGAACACCTATAGTCCCAGCTACTCTGAGAGATGAGGCACAAGAATTGCTTGAACCTGGGAGGTGGAGGTTACAGTGAGCCAAGATCCAGCCACTGAACTCCAGCCTGGGTAACAGAGTGAGACTCTGTCTCCAAAAAAACAAAGAAAGAAAACAGATTGAAGAGGCCAGGCACAGTGGCTCATGCCTGTAATCCCAACACTTTGGGAGGCTGAGGCGGGTGGATCACTTGAGGTCAGGAGTTCAAGACCAGCCTGGCCAACATGGTGGAACCCAGTCTCTACTAAAAACACACAATTATCCAGGTGTGGTGGTGTGTGCCTGTAGTCCCAGTTACTCGGGAGGCTGAGGCAGGAGATGGAGGTTGCAGTGAGCTGAGATCGTGCCACTACACTCCAGCCTGTGTGACAGAGGCAGACTCCCTCTCAAAAAAAAAAAAAATTGAAGAAAACTGAACAGAGTCTATAGGATCTGCGAGACACCATCAAGCAGACCAACATACACATCGTGGGGGCCCCAGAAGTGCATACGTGTCTGTAAGTAGTGTTTTCCCAGCATGACTTGGAGGAAACCCTGCCTTTCTGGCTTAGGCTCGGCCACAGCCATCTATGTGAGACCAACCCAGAAACACTGGCGCCTTGGGGAGACAGTGAGCCTGGTGGAGGGACACTCTGGTTGGGAACTGGACAGCCCCAGTTCTGCAAATAACTGCATGTGCTTGTGAGACCGACTCACCCCACCAATCCTCTCTTCCTCATCTGTGAAAGAGGCGGAACACCAGCACCCCCCTCTGGCAGTGTGAAGGTTTCAGTAGGGGACACATCGTGGAGGATGGCTGGGATTTGCTCACACCACTGCTTAGATGAGCAGAAAAGATGTGTCCAAGTGAATCTTCTTCCCAAGGCATGGGTGCTTGTGGGGGTGGGGGGTGCCAAGACTTCAACTTAGCATCTCAGTCTCTTCTGAGTTTCTTTTAAAGTCCAACTTTGAACCTAGAGATGTGTAAACAGAATCTTGTGAAAGACGATGTCTTTCAGATGAATGTTCTATCATTTGGATGGAAATGATATTGAATCCCCCTCCTTGTGCAAATGAGCCCTGTGTATGTATGTGTATGTGTATGTGTATGTGTATGTATGTGTATGTGTATGTGTATGTGTATGTGTATGTGTATGTATGTATGCGTGTGGGGGTGGGGGGTACTTAGGTGACATGTGCAAGGACAGAAGGCCCAGGGATGCCCTGAGGTTCATGCCATCCTCCACAGTGGAGGGTCTGGTTTGGTCTGGCCTTGGACAAGTGACTGCCATGGGGTGACCGGTCCCATTTGGTCTGTGGGCCACTGCTGCAGTCTCTGGTTCCAGCCATTTGCCTGTGATCATGGAGGCCACACATCTTGGAGCCCATGTGTCCTCACCCCAGGCCTCCACTGGCCCCTCAGCACTCCATGTCTTCCCATGGGGCCTGTAGGAACTTCTGCAGGCCTCAGCCAGGCCATGGGCTGCTGGGAGCCCTGCCTCGGGCTCATCTCTCTGCTGCTTCCTTCTGCCCTACCTACTGTCATTCCTGCACCCTGCTGTGAAAGGCTTCTCCACATGCACCTGCAGACCCTGGGGGCCCTGGGGTTCCCTGAATCCATCTGGATCTATCAGGCATTCCCCCATTGTAGTTTCAACTTGCAAATGAAGCCAACAGTACATGCACCCTGGCCCTCGCTGCTCTCTTTGCCCCTCTTCTTCTTCCCTCATTTTGTGGGCAGGAGAAAGGGGCCTCCTGGACCACATCCCCCTCTTCCCAGGAGACTTGGTGGGATTTCTCTACACCATGGAAAAAAGCTTTATGATTTGGTCCAGTGGTCTTTAAACGTTGTGCTCACTGGTAGCTCACGGAGGCTGCTCATCACCAATTCCCCCTCACCTTGCAGTGCCATGGGAGAGGATTACTCCCTGCCCTCTTGTGCTTGGGTGGGCCACGTAGCAGGAGCAAGAGCAAAACCTGCCTCACAACTCAGAGCCACCACCAACCTGCTATAGAAGGGAAGTGTGACCAAGAAATAGATCTCTGTTTCTACACCCACTAAGACTTCGAGATTGTTTGTAATTGCAGCATATCCTGGATGATCCTGACTGATGTAGCTCCTGAAAGAAGTTGTTAAAAAACTATGTGTATTCTCTGGCTGGGCCCGGTGGCTCACACCTGTAATCCCAGCATTTCGGGAGGCTAAGCTGGTTGGATCACTTGAGGTCAGGAGTTCAAGATCAGCCTGGCCAACATGGTGAAACCCCATCTCTACTAAAAATACAAAAATTAGCTGGTGCCTGTAATCTCAGCTACTTGGTAGGCTGAGGCACAAAAATTGCATGAACCCGGGAGGCAGAGGTTGCAGTGAGCCTAGATCACACCACTGCACTCCAGCCTGGGCAACAGAGTGAGACTCCATCTTAAAAAAAATGAATTTAAAAACT
Organism: Homo sapiens; assembly: GCF_000001405.40. NCBI lineage: Eukaryota > Metazoa > Chordata > Mammalia > Primates > Hominidae > Homo > Homo sapiens. Next base: position 178,071,824 of record NC_000005.10, read on the forward strand.
TTTTAAAACTATGTGTATTCTCTTGCATATTTTTAAGATGATATATGAAATTTTCACTATACATTTAAATTGTTGCAAGAGATGTAATTTCCCAACTATTGTAATGATTGACATTTAAAATAAAAACTATTTCATTCATCTTTTAAATGGACCCAATGAAATCTAAGTATTGAAACAGTTTCTTACTACCACCAGATTTTTTTTTTTTTTTTTTTTTTTGAGACAGAGTCTCACTTTGTTGGCCAGGCTGGTGTGCAGTGGTGAGATCTTGGCTCACTGCAACCTCCATCTCCCAGGCTCAAGCAATTCTCCTGCCTCAGCCTCCCGAGTAGCTGGGATTACAGGTGCCCATCAACATGCCTGGCTAATTTTTGTATTTTTAGTAGAGATAGGGTTTCGCCATGTTGGCCAGACTGGTCTTGAACTCCTGACCTCAGATGATCCGCCCTACTCGGCCTCTCAAAGTGCTGGGATTACAGGTGTGAGCCACCATGCCTGGCCTCTTTTTATAACAGAAATAGAAAAGAAAATATTAAATATTTTATATCCAGGGTGACTTCCCACCTCCCCTTTTGTCTAGAAATGCATTCCTCTTGAGGGAATCCCCTAGGAGCAAAGCAAAGAAGGCTGTGGCTTATGTGTGTAATCCCAGCACTTTGGGAGGCCAAGGCAGGAGGATCACTGGAGCCCAGGAGTTTAAGCACCAATCTGGGCAACATAACAAGACCTCCTCTCTACAAAAAAAATAAAAAATAAAACTCAGGTGTGGTGGCAAGTGCCTATAGTCCCAGCTACTCAAGAGGTTGAGGTGAGGGGATACTTTGAGCCCAGGAGTTCGAGGTTACAACAAGCTATGATTACACCACTGCACTCCAGTCCAGGTGACCCTATCTCAAAAAATAAATATATAAAAATTTTAATTGTTTTTCATTTAAAGAAAATATTAAACATTTTAAAGATGAAATAAAAGGAAAATATATATATTCCATTATATGATTTGACGAAAGAGTTTGGCTCCGTTCTTGACTAACACACAGCATCTGAAATAAATCTCACAAAAATATCATCTGTGAGTTCCAGCCAACATGTCTGAAAACGCTGGTATTCCCAGAGAACAGGCCGGCTCCACGCAAGACTCAGCACCACCACCCTCTGCTGCTCCCGATGCTCTGAGGCTTGTCCTGCTAAGGACGCGTCCTAAGATGAGCGCTGAGAACAGGGACAGAAGCGCTTCCAAAGGGGCTGGTATTTTCTATGTAGCTCTCTTGGCTTTGCTCTTAGGGGATTCCCTCCAGAAAGATGCATTTCTAGACAAAAGAGGAGGTGTGAAATGCAAAGCAGTGAACTAAATTTAAATTGCCATCTTAGCCGGGCATGGTGATTTACGGCCGTAGTCCCAGCTACTTGGTAGGCCGAGGCAGGAGAATCGCTTGAGCCTAGGAGTTCAAGACCAGCCTGGGCAACATAGCAAGGTCCTGTCTCTACAAAAATAAACATAAAAATTAAAAAATTAGCCGGGCCTGGTGGTGCATGCCTGGAGTCCCAGTTGCTAGAGAGGCTAAAGTGGGACGATTGCTTGAGCCCGGGAGTCTGAGGCTGCAGTGAGCCATGATTGCTATTGTGCTGTATTCAGCCTGGGCAAGAGAGTGAGACCCTGTCTCAAAAAAAAAATTGCGTTGAATTCCCTAACCTCATTCCCATGCCCCTACCTTCAGAACTTCATCAAAGGGGGACAACCCCACACAGTGACATCTGGGGCAGGCATCATGGAGAAGAGAGACTGTCACCTCAGATGCTGTTCCAGCCTGGCCAACTTTAGGCAAGAAGACATATGGAAGTTGAGTCCTGGAAACTGATTCCCTAAAGCTCTGCCTGTCACTGGAATGTAAACATACCATCCAGTATCACTGCAATATTTTCTGGCACTACCCAAATTTTCAAGATACATCAGCTAAGAATCATAGATAAATCTTTTACAAAAATGTTTTAGGCCAGGCGCAGTGGCTTTCACCCGTAATCCCAACACTTTGGGAGGCTGAGGCGGTCGGATCACCTGAGGTCAGGAGTTCGAACCCAGCCTGGCCAACATGGCGAAACCCCGTCTCTACTCAAAATACAAAAATTAGCCAGGTGTTAAATTAGCTGGGCATGGTGGTGCATGCCTGTAGTTCCAGCTACTTGGGAGGCTGAGGCATGAGAATCGCTTGAACCTGGAAGGCAGAGGTTGCAGTGAGCCGAGATCATGCCACTGCACTCCAACCTCTGTGACAGAGTGAGACCCCGCCTCAAAAAAAATTTTTTTTTAATTCCATATATTAGTGATATGGAAGGGAAGTGCTGGGAAGGGAAGAGTGTGGTCCCTTTAAATGATACAGAAGAGGGGAAAGGAAGTGCTGGGTAGAGGAGTTCATGGTCCCTGGCTAGGACTCCACCCCCAGCCTGTGCCCACGGACCTAGGTAAGGACAGGCATTTTTGTTTTCCTGCCCAAATGTTGCATTTCCCAAGACCACCCTGGCCTGCCACACCCCTATCTTGTGCCTGGAAAAAACCCCAAGACTGTAGCCAGAAGACACACAGGAGGCTGGATGTGGAGAGGAACACACCGACAGGCATGCTGGCAGGCCATCGACTGGTAGAATGACGTAGCGTTTGGCTGGGGCAGTTGGAGGAGATCTCGGGCCACCGAGTGGCCCGACTCCAGGAGAAAACCATCTCCCTTCTGGCTCCCCCATCTGAGAGCTACTTCTACTCAATAAAACCTTGCACTCATTCACCAAGACCATGTGTGATCCAATTCTTCCGCTACACCAAAGCAAGGACCACAGGACACAGAAAGCCCTTTGTTCTTGTGATAAGGCAGGGGTCTAATTGAGCTGTGACTAATACAAACCATCTATGGGCGGCTAAACTGAAAGAGCACATGGTACACACGCCCACTGGGGCTTCAGGAGCTGTGAACATTCACCCCTAGACGGTGCTGTGGGGTCGGAGCTCCACAGCCTGCCCATCTGTATGCACCCATAGAGGTTTGAGCAGAGGCAGCACTGAAGAAGCGAGCCACACCCCACCATGCTGCTTTTCACTAGTCAATAAAGTAGCAAAACCTATTTTTCTTCCCTCCTAGAAAGACTTTGTGCACCCAGAAACCTGTGTACCCCCAGTTTGAAGACCTCCGAGCTTGTCTACCTGACCCGGGAGCTAAAGACATTGAGGAAATCCTTTTCCATTTCAACCTTGTTGGCTCTCAGCGCTCATCTGAAGTAGAAGCTTTGCATTCCAGCAATAGCACAAAGGCAAAAGTTGTATTTGGTCGGAGGCTACATATAAGGGACTGCAGCAGAAAAAAAAGAATCACAATGATAGAACTTAAAGCTCTTGTCCCCATTCTGCCTGTAAAGCACAGTGAGAAGCAAGTGATGAGCACCAAGACCAGGGCTGTCAGAATAGCCGTGCTTCAGAAGCATGAGCTGGGCTCATCCTGTTGGGCTCCAGGCTGTGATGCTGTGGCAGGGGCCAAGTGACTTGGTGCAGAGGGGCTGCTGCCGAGCTAAGGCTCTGAACCAGAGCTTGCCATGGCCCAGAAGTGAAATGCGAACCCCGTGCCAGCCCTGGGCTGGCCCCAGGACCCACTCCAACTGCTTAAGGATCCCCCTGTGGGCTTCAGGCCCCGTGAGATGGAGGTGGAGGGTTCACAGGACCTCCCATGAGGTTAAGTGGGTGGGGAGGCTGCCTGTCATGCTGGGTGGCCACTCGAGTTCTCCATTCCCAGGCAGGAAGCTGCCATCTGGTGAAGAAATGGCAGAGAAAGGCTCAGAGTAGAGGACGCAGCTGGGCAGGTTCTACCCTCCCTTCTGCCCAGTGCAACAGGAAGCCCTTGGAGAGTGGGACCTCTATTTGCAAAACCCCTGAAGGTCCCACAGGGGAAAGAACACAAGACTTGGAGTCAAGTAGACCTGGGCACGCACCATGGCCCTGCCCGACTCACTGAGAGACCATGGCCTTCTGCATTCCACAACGGGGGGCTTATCACAGCCGTGACCCAGGCCCCTGTGAAAAGCCCGCCCTACTCAGCCTGGTGGCCTCTGATGCGGTCCCCTCCTCGGCTCCCATGCCCCCTCTCTTGGGTTTATAACCCAGCTCACATTGGGACAGCCTCTTCATGTATCTAATCTCAACCCACCACCGCCCCGAGAGCTACCTTCTCGTTATTGCCACGTGGTGGAGTCCGGACTCCGTCTGGTTGAGACGTCTGTGAGCAACACCAGGACACAAACCTCGTTCTGTCCAACTGTGGAAACGGCCGTTTCCACTGGCCCATCACTGAGTCACAGAAAAGGCACAGGCCCTACGAATGCCGACATCGCCTCCCATAAAACCTGACGGGGGAAGAGGAGGATCCAATTTTTGGTGTTAGAAAAATTGTAAATTGTAATGAACATGCTAGACGATGTTCCAGGGACAGGCACTTGGCAAGCGTTGTCCTGCAGGGGGTGCTATCCACTCAGCGACCCACAACAGCCTTGGGGCTGAGAGGCGGGGGCTGTTTCCAGCCCAGCTGAATCCCACATGCTGGGGGGTCATTTGCCAGGTATCTACTTGTTAAAATGCTTGCTTTGCTATGAGCCATCCCAGCGAGCTCAGACAAATAACACTGTTCTTCAAAATCACAAAAATATATGTAGCCTGCAAAACACACACAATCATTTATTTCAGAAATACACCACCATGCTGGGTGCAGCGGCTCATGCCTGTAATCCCAGCACTTTGGGAGGCCGAGATGGGCGGTTCACTTGAGCCCAGGAGTTCAAGACCAGCCTGGACAAAAAAGCAAGACCCTGTCTCTACAAAAATTTTTAAAAATTAGCCAGGCATGGTGGTGCACACCTGGGTTAGTCCCAGCTACTCTGAAGGCTGAGGCACAAGGATCACTTGAGCCCGGGAAGTCAAGGCTGCAGTGAGTCAAGATTGTGCCACTGCACTCCAGCCTGGGCAACAGAGTGAGCCCTTGTCAAAATAAAGAGGCTGGGCGTGGTGGCTCATGACTGTAATCCCACCACGTTGGGAGGCTGAGGTCAGAGGATCACTTGAGCCCAGGAGTTTCAGATTGGGAGGCTGAGGTGGGAGGATCACTTGAGCCCGGGAGTTCCAGATTAGACAAGATCTCGCTCTTTCACCCAGGCTGGAGTGCAGTGGTGCGATTTCAGCTCATTGCAGCCTTGACCTCCCAGGCTCAGGCAATTCTCCCACCTCAGCCTCCCGAGTAGCTGGGACTACATGTGTATGCCACTACACCTGGCTAACTTTTTATTTTCATTTTTTGGTAGAGATGGGGGTCTTGCTTTGTTGCCCAGTCTGGTCTTGAATTGCTGGCCTCAAGCAATCTTCCTGCTTTGGCCTTGCTGAGATTACAGGCATGAGTCACCATACCTAGCATCATTTTCTTTTCTTTTTTTTTTTTTTTTTTTTTTTGAGACAGGGTCTTGCTCTGTCACCCAGGCTGGAGTGCAGTGGCACAATCTTGGCTCACTGCAACCTCCGCCTCCCAGGTTGGATCGATTCTTGTCCCTCAGTCTCCCTAGTAGCTAGGATTACAGATGTGTGCCACCATGCCTGGCTAATTTTTGTATTTTTAATAGAGATGAGGTTTCACCATGATGGCCAGGCTGGTTTTGAACTCCCGGCCTCAAGTGATCTGCCTGCCTCAGCCTCCCAAAATGCTGGGACTCCAGGTGTGAGTCACCGCTCCCAGCTTCTTTTCTATTTGTATTCTATTTCAGGTTGTTGTTTTTTCCTTTTTTGGTTTAACTGCACTTTTTGAGTATGTAAGATAATGTTCATGATTCGAAAGTCAAAACCATATCAAAAAGTGAGCTCCGAGCATCTCCCTTTCCCATGGCAGACGCGCATTTGAAGGAGCTGCCTCCAGGCCTCCCAACTCCACTGCTCCGGCCTCCAGCCTGGCCCTCTTGGACACAGAGCTTGGACACCCAGGTTCCTGTCAGGACTGAAGTGGCCCAGAGCTGGCAGGGCCTCTAGAGGTCATCCACCATGCTTTTCCCTCCAGCAGACAGAAAGTGGATGTCAGACTTCGGCCACCAGGGCAGGAGCAGAACTCAGGCGTGGCACTTCACAGTTCCAGAACCCTAGGGTCTCTCAGGCTGGAGTGGGGGTGGGGCACTCACCTTTATCCAGCTGTCTCTGCTAGTCAAGCAAAAGCACTGGGCAGGCTGTTTTCTCTAAATCCTCCTGACAACACTGGGAGGTGCTCCAAGGAAGACACAGACACGTGGAAAGCTTCAAAGACGTAACTGGTCTGACCCAAACTCCTTGCTTTTCTGACACTGTATCACAAAAAAATCTTCTCCTGCCATTCCCACCAATCAATTTCATCCTAAGTTCTTCGCTTACACCAGCAGCAGCATCTTCCAGGCTTCCAGGCCAGCAGTGGAGGAGTCATTTTTAGCTCTTCCTTCTCCTTCACCCTGGCATCCCATTTGTGGGCACAGAGCCCGGCCCTAGAGGGCTGGGAGAAACCGCAGAGGGCATCCAGTTCAGCTGCCCACGTAACACTTGGATTTTCTGTAAACATTTGTGGTGAAGCTGCTGCCCAGGCTCAGCCTAAACACGGCCCCCACCTCTGTGCGAGGGAGCTCGCCACTCCCTGACATGACTGTTGCATCTTGAAACGGTTATGATGTTCAAAAGTCTGCCTCAGTTTGAGAGTAAATCTGCCTCCCTGTTGCCTCCTCTCCTCGCTCCCTGCACGCACGTCCACTGGTTCTAGTTTTTTGCGGGGGTGGTATAGAACCGATCTGACCTCTTCTCTGTCTTAGCCCTTTGAATGAGAAAGCCGTGATCAAGCCCCCAGCGGGTAAATATTCCCCATTGCTCCAGCTGGTCCTCATATGACTAGTTTCAAATCACTAGACAGTCTAGTCCCTTCTCCAATCATGCGTCAGTTCATCTAAACTGGGTGTTGCAAACTCAATGCCTAAGGGGGCCAAGCAAGCGGCATGGGTGAGTGAGACGGGTGGAGCGTAGCAATACGGAGTGGTGGGGACTGCAGCCAAGAGGTGTTTCAGCCAATTGCTGCCATGCAGAAGTGAGGCCCTGCATCCCCAGATCCTCTCGTTTTCGAATAGGAATCAGTATAATTTGGGTTTGGATTTGAAATGTTGATTTTTTGAGTTGGTTATTAGTTTTTCTTTTTTTTTTTTTTTTTCTTTTTTTTGAGACAGAGTCTCACTCTGTCACCCAGGCTGGAGTGCAGTGGTGCGATCTCGGCTCACTGCAACCTCCACCTCCCAGGTTCAAGCGATTCTCCTGCCTCAGCCTCCCACGTAGCTGGGACTACAGGCACGTGCCACCATGCCCACCTAATTTTTTGTATTTTTAGTAGAGACGGGGTTTCACCATGTTAGCCAGGATGGTCTCAATTAATTTTTCAAACACAACACACTATATGAATCAACACTGTGAAGCAAACAAAAACCTATGGGCACCATCCCAGCACTTTGGGAGGCCGAGGTGGGCAGATCACGAGGTCAGGAGATCGAGACCATCCTGGCTAACACGGTGAAACCCCGTCTCTACTCAAAATACAAAAAAATTAGCCAGGCATGATGGTGGGTTCCTGTAGTCCCAGCTACTCGGGAGGCTGAGGCAGGAGAATGGATGAACCCGGGAGGCGGAGCTTGCAGTGAGCCGAAATTGTGTCACTGCACTCCAGCCTGGGCGACAGAGCAAGACTCCATCTCAAAAACAAACAACAAAACAAAACAAAACAAAACAAACCTATGGGCACCAGTGTGCAACCTCTGGTTTACTGGCATCTTAAAATGTGCTACATAAAATTTGCTGGGTGCTGGCCGGGACAGTGGCTCATGCCTGTCATCCCAACACTTTGGGAGGCCAAGGCAGGCGGATTGCTTGAGTCCAGGAGCTTGAGACCAGCCTGGGCAACATGGCAAAACCCCATCTCTATTAAAAATACAAAAATTAGCCGGGTGTGGTGGCACTTGTCTGTAGTCCCAGCTACTTGGGAGGCTGAGGTGGGAGAATCACCTAAGCCAGGGAGGTTGAGGCTGCAGTGAGCAGAGATCACACCACTGCACACCTGCCTGGGCAACCAGAGTGAGACCCTGTCTCAAAAAGATAAATAAATAAAATTTGCTGGGTGTGGTCGCGTTGCCTGTGGTCACAGCTACTTGGGAGGCTGGGGTGGGAGGACAGATTGAGCACAGGACTTCCAAACCAACCCGCAGTGCCCTGACCAGCCAGCTGTCTCCCTCTCCCACCCCTCTTCCTCACCGAAGCCCAGGGCACCCTCATCACCCTGTTGTCAGCCCCTGCCCTAGGGACTTACTGTGGCCAGACCTCAATGCCAGGCCTGGCCCCTCCTGGAGAGCACGCAGGCCAGGGCCTTGTCTCATGCACCCATTGGCTTCTCCCCTCCTTTCTCACCCACTCCTCCACACTTTCGCTCAAGCCAAGCCTGCCTCAAGGTGCCTTCTTCCTCCCCTGCCCGCATCTTACGTCCTCTCTGAGGCCTTCCCTGGTGGCTAAGCCCACAGTGGTGTCCCTCACGTGCTTGGCCAGTACTACGTGTAAAATGGGGAGAATGACAGACCAAACTCAAAGAGTGTCTGAGGAATGAATGAGGGGACTCGGGTCAAGTGCTTGGAGTAGAAGCTGGCACACAGCAGTGCTTGATGAACATCAGAGCCATGCATTATTATTAATATCACTCTTAATATCCCATTTCATGCTGAATCCACACGCTGCCTGGTGCTCTCTTTCACATTTGCTAATCACATCTCTCCAATTGAGTGAGGAAGCAGAAAGGACCCTGGAGGCAGAGACTGGTGGACCTGGATCTGAATTCCATGTTTCCCATGTGTTACCCCAGGGAAGTCACATAACCTTTCTTGGCCTCTGTTTTTGAGTCTGTAAAATGGAGCTAATGAGTCCCCATCCTCAGGGCTGTGATAAGGATCTGATGAGGCAATGTCTGCGAAAGCTCTAAGTAAACTGGGAAGAAATGCTGTGAGAACGACCGTTGCCGGGGAGGAAATTCCAGGCCAGCCATGGTGTTGCTGGAGTCAAGGGCCAGGTGGTTCTGCTTTTGATCAGATCTAGAATGTCCACAAATGGCTAGTCTGTGCCAGACTTTTGAAGTATGAAGTACACTGTAAAGTCACCTCTAAACCTCTCCACTTGTCCCCTCCAGTCTGTCCCCGGCTGCTCTCTGCACCAACTGGCCCTTTTCATTCTCTCCTGGTATCCCAGCCTCCTGACCTCCCTTCCCAGACTCTGCCCACTTAAGTCAATCTCTGCACTGTGGCCAGCATGATCTACCTTCCTGCAGCCCATTCACTCATTCGCTCACTCATACATTACACAATTGTTTATTCAGTTATTACCAGGTGTTCTGGAAATAAAACAGACCAAAATCCCTGCCCTGATGGGTTTTACATTCTAGCAAAATACAGACTTATTATGTAACCTCTGTGCTTTAAAAACTCAACTGGTTTTCCAATTATGCTGGAGTCAACAAAAGTCTTGGCAGGGCGCGGTGGCTCACGCCTGTAATCCCGGCACTTTGGGAGGCTGAGGTGGTCAGATCACGAGGTCAGGAGATCGAGACCATCCTGGTCAACATGGTGAAACCCCGTCTCCACTAAACATACGAAAAGTAGCTGGGTGTGGTGGCACATGCCTGTAGTCCCAGCTACTCCGGAGACTGAGGCAGGAGAATTGCTTGAACCAGGGTGTCGGAGGTTGCAGTGTGCTGAGATTGCGGCACTGCACTCCAGCCTGGTGACAAAGCCAGACTCAGTCTCAGAAAAAAAAAAAAAAAGTCTTGAGCGTAGCCTCCAGGACAGTTTGTGGTCAGCCTCTGCTCCCTTTCAGCTCCCTCCCCGCCTTCCCAGAAGGGAAGGCTGCCTTGGGCTCCAGGTGGGCCACGCCCCTTCAGACGCAGTGACCTTGCTTTGGTTGTTTTCGCAGTCTGGAAAGTCCTCTTTTAAGTTACAGGTTGCTGAATGTTTTCTCCGTAGAGGAGTTTATTCTCAGTCTGGCCTGGTAGCCCAGGTCAGGGGCCTCTCCTCCCCTGAGGTGTGCAGACAGACAAGTCACCCGGAGGCTCCTGACAAGGACTCTGCTTGACCCAATATTAGTCGGGCCCCTGAGGCTTCTCCTAGACCCATCTGTGTGCTTCCTTATACAATCCAGTTTTAGCAAGAACCCTGCTAGCTCACTGTGGCAGAAACCCCCCACCCTCCATATCTGATCACCCTTGATATCTGGTCAGGCTTCTCCTCCCCATCACCCCTCTGGTGATGTCTGGTCACCCTAGCCTGTCTTCAGCTAGAATCGTGTTAGGTGAGTTTAGCTAGAATCCCCGACCCCTGATGTTGCTCTTAGTAATTCCCCATCCCCTGGCCCCCACCCTGCTCCTTGGCTATCACCCCCCACTCGCCCATGCTGTACTGGGAGTTGAGCCCAGTCTCTCTCCCCAACTGCAAGAGCCCACTCCAGCAGTTCCTGTGTCTATCTCCATGGTCCTGAATAAAGTCTGCCTTACTGTGCTTTTTTTTCTTTTTTTTTTTTTTTTTTGAGATGGAGTCTCACTGTGTCACCTAGGCTGGAGTGCAGTGGCGCGATCTTGGCTCACTGCAGCCTCCGCCTCCCAGGTTCAAGTGATTCTCTGCCTCAGCCTCCCGAGTAGCTGGGATTACAGGCACATGCCACCACACCCAGCTAATTTTATTATTATTATTATTATTGAGACAGAGTCTCACTCTGTCACCCAGGCTGGAGTGCAGTGGCACAATCTTGGCTCACTGCAACCTCCGCCTCCCAGGTTCAAACAATTCTCCTGCCTCAGCCTTCCAAGTAGCTGCGACTACAGGTGCCTGCCACCACGCCCGGCTAATTTTTGTATTTTTAGTAGAGACGGGTTTCACCGTATTGACCAGGCTGGTCTTGAACTCCTGACCTTGTGATCCACTCGCCTCGGCCTCCCAAAGTTTTGGGATTACAGGCGTGAGCCACTGCGCCCGGCCTTGACCAGCTAATTTTTGTATTTTTAGTAGAAATGGGATTTCACCATGTTGGCCAGGCTGGTCTCAAACTCCTGTCCTCAGGTGATCCACCCACCTCGACCTCCCAAAGTGCTGGGATTACAGGCGTGAGCCCTGCCTTTACCTTGTGTGCACCCAACCTTTACTGTGCTTTAACAAGTATTATTGAATGACTTTTGTTTTGTTTTGTTTTGCTACAGGCACCAACACGGCTCACTGCAGCCTTGACCTCCCGGGCTCAGACGATAGTCCCACCTCAGCCTCCAGAGTGGCTGAGACTACAGGCATGCGCTGCCACACCTGGATAATTTTTTGTAGAGACCGGGTCCTGCCATGTTGGCCAGGGTGGTCTTGAACTCCTGGGCTCAAGTGATCCTCATGCCTTGGCCTCCCAAAGTGCTGGGATAACAGATGTGAACCACCTTGCCCACCCTCACTTTTTTCTTTAACACTCCCAAAGGTCATTTCCCTAGTTGCTTCCCCAGCATCTACACAGCGGATGCTTAGCTCTGTGTGTGTGTGTGTGTGTGTGTGTGTGTAAAAGCGGCTGGTAAGGGATGTGTGTGTGTACGCACGTGTGTATGTGTGTGGGCATGTATGCGTGCGTGCGTGTGTGTGCGCATGTGTGTGCATGTGTGCATGTGTATGTAGAAAAGGGCTGATAAGGGATAGCAATGGCTTTGTGGGTGGCCAGAGGAGGGAAGCAGGGAGCACTTTCCAACAGGGAGACAAGCGAGGGTCTCTGGAGGATGTGCATGTGGTCAGGGCCTGGATGAATGAGTAGGATGTAACCACAGGAAGAACTGCCTGTTGGGCGACGGGGCCTGCAGGTGCCGAGACAGGGAGGCCAGTGGGATGGGACATACGACGGAGTCATCCAGTGTTCCCTGGGCCAGGAGAGGAAGGTGAAGAAAGGAAAGGAATAGGGAGGGAAAGCGGCAGAGAGGCAAAGCTGCCTGAGTGGGAAAGGCCTTGAGGGTCAAGCTGGGGAACTGGACCCCAGCCTGTGAAGTGGGGTCAAGCAAAAGCTCCCACAGGACAAGAACAGGTTATAGGGGTGGCCAAGGAGAAGCAGAGACTACCAACTTTCTAAAAAGGAGAGGAACTCTTAGCTTTTGGTGATGAGGCCAAGTAGAAAACTGGGCGTGGGGCTGCCACAGCTTCAAGAAGCCAGAAATCCAGTCTTTGTAGTCAAAATTCCTGAATGAAAATGTCACCATCAAATACAACGGGTGTTTTGGGTCTCCGGTTACACTCCCTCGGGCAGAGTTTTACATGATGCAGACCAAAATTAAGGCTGTTGGGGCAGACATGACTTGATAGAGGTTTATTGGAAGCCAAATGTGAGGATCAGCGCAGGAAGACACACTAACAAAGTCACTCCAAGAAAGCTGGGTGTGTTCCAGAGTCCGCTACAAGGTGGAGGCATGGGAAGCTTTTCTAAGAAGTTTTAGGGAAGCGGGGGGACTCCTCATACCAGAGTTGTCCTTTTGCATTAGAGGTGCAATACAGAGGTTACAATCGTGGGCTGCAGATGACAACATGCAGGCTAAATTTTTTTTTCTTTGAGACAGAGTCTCATTCTGTTGTCCAGGCTGGAGTTCAGTGCAATCTCAATCTCACTCACTGCAACCTCTGCCTCCCAGGTTCAAACAATCCTCCCACCTCAGCTTCCTGAGCAGCTGGGACTACAGGTGCACTCCACCATGCCCACCTAATTTTTGTATTTTTTTGGTAGAGACGGGGTTTCACCATTTGGCCAGGGTGGTCTCGAACTCCTGACCTCAAGCGATCCAACTGCCTCAGGCTTCAGAAGTGCTGGGTATGCGCCTCCGCGTGCCCAGCCTAAAACGTTCATGCAGGACAATCAGCAAAGCTTCGGGATTCAGAAACAGATCAGTGTCGTTTTCAGCGTCAGTAGGTTATGTATTAATCAGTATGTTAACAGTTTGAGGAACTCACAGAGGAGCTCACAGGAAGATTCTTTACTCTTCCTGTGACAGGATATAAGCCCCGAATCCTAAGACCTTCACCTTCCCTGGTGGTTAATTTGAAAGCCTGCCAAATGTATCCTGAAGGTTATCAATGGCAAGATCAAAGATGAGCATGGACCTGATGATAATAACGCTGGTGACTGGCATGGAGGTGGCATCAACCTAGGGAGGGCCTCAGCCAGCAAGCAGGAGCAGCCGGCCCACAGGGAGTGGGCTGCATTGTTCAGGTGGGCCTGAGAGGAAGAGGAGGGGAACTGGAAGAGAAGTAAGGTTGCCAGACAAAATGCAGAACACCCAGTTAAATGTGAATTTCAGATAACATTTTTTTTTTTTTTTGAAACAGAGTCTCACTCTGTCGCCCAGGCTGGAGTGCAGTGACGCGATCTTGGCTCACTGCAACCTCTGTCTCCCAGGTTCAAGCGATTCTCCTGCCTCAGCCTCCTGAGTAGCTGGGATTACCGGCACCCACCTCTACAGCCCAGCCAATTTTTCTATTTTTAATAGAGATGGGGTTTCACCTCATCTCTGCTAGCCTGTTGGCAAGGCTGGTCTTGAACTCCTGACCTCAAGTGATCCACCCACCCCTGCCTCCCAAAGTGCTGGGATTACAGCCGTGACCCATCGTGCCCGGCCAGATAACAAATTTTTAAGTGTAAACAATGGTATAAAAAAAAACCTGATTGTTGCTGGGTGCAGTGACTCACCTATAATATTACCCAGCACTTTGGGAAGCAGAGGTGGGAGGATTGCTTGAGGCCAGGGGTTCGAGACCAGCCTGGGTAACATGGGGAACTTTTCTCTACAAAAAATATAAAAATTAGCCGGGCAGAGGCTGAGGCGGGAGCATCGCTTGAACTCAGAAAGTTGAGGATGCAGTGAGCCCTGGTGGCGCCACTGCACTCCACTCCAGCCTGGGTGACAGAGCAAGACCCTGTCTCAAAAAGCAAACAAAGCCTGACGTGGTGGCTCATGCCTGTAATCCCACCACTTTGGGAGGCCGAGGCTGGTGGATCACCAGGTCAGGAGTTCAAGACCAGCCTGGCCAAGATGGCGAAACCCCGTCTCTACTAAAAATACAAAAATTAGCCAGGCGTGGTGGTGGGTGCCTGTAATCTCAGCTACTCGGGAGGCTGAGTCAGGAGAATTGCTTGAACCTGGGAGGTGGAGCTTGCAGTGAGCCGAGGTAGCGCCACTGCACTGCAGCCTGGGCGACGGAGTGAGACTCCGTCTCAAAAAAAAAAAAAAAAAAAAAGAAGAAGAAAAGTAAAGAAAAAGAGAACCTGGTTATCTGCAGTTGCAATTTACCTGAGTGTTCTGTATTTTTATTTGCTAAATCAGCAGACTCGACAAGGCACACTGAACAAGTGGACAGTGCGCCGGCGTGGAACATGGTAGGGCCAACAGTGTCTCCCGAGGGTACCTGGCCCCAGAAACCCAGACTGGCGGTCATCCTGCACAAAAGAGGCGGTTGAATCACCTGCAGCGCCTGGAGATGAGGAGGTAGGCGGGCGCCCGTCATTTCCCCGGGCCTCTCTTCCCCAGCACGGGCAAGCACTCGCCGCCCACGTCTTCTCCGTCCCTGCCCTGAAGGCAGCCAGCTCCGCGCTCCGCAGCGGCATCCCCGGGCCAGGATGGGGTGGACGGGGCGGGGCCCGTGCCTGGTTTCCTTCTCCCCCTCTGATGGCTCCCTCCAAGGGTCTTGCCGGTCCACCTCCTCCTTTACCTGCTCCCACATCTGGCAGCCCCTCCAGCCTTGACCTTGAGCCCTGTTCTCTGTTTTCTCCAGACCATCTCGTCCCGTCCCGGGGTTCAATATGCGGAGTACTTCAGCAGGGCATTTTTAAACCCTATTTCGACCTGTTTTACTGTGCATCCTCTCATGCTCGCCCCACTCTCCCCCATCTCCCTCCCCTCCCTTTCTCCTTTTCTCTCGTTTTTTTTTTTAAATTTTTTTATTTTTTTTTGAGACGGAGTCTGTGTCGCCAGGCGGGAGTGCAGTGGCGCAATCACAATCTTGGCTCACTGCAAGCTCCGCCTCCCGGGTTCAAGCGATTCTCCTGCCTCAGCCTCCCAAGTAGCTGGGACTACAGGCACGTGCCACCACGCCTGGCTAATTTTTGTATTTTTAGTAGAGACGGGGTTTCACCATGTTAGCCAGGATGGTCTCCATCTCTTGACCTCGTGATCCACCCGCCTCAGCCTCCCAAAGTGCTGGGATTACAGGTGTGAGCCACCGCGCCCGGCGCCTCCTCTCTCTATTGTTCACAAAACTGCTCAAAAATTTTTCTTGGATTCCCTAAGAAATGCATAGAAATGATCACTTTTCCACCCCACACCACAAAATAAAATTGACCACTGCTAAACCTGCACTGGGTAAAATTTATGATTAACTTTAAAATGACAGAAAAGCCAAATCTTCTTTAAATAACTTAGATCTGCAAAATCCTATCCAAGAGACTGGGGCTTGGTAGAAACAATGGCTGCAAAAGGAAATGCAAACAGATGATGAAGAAATCAATTTTGTTTAACAAATGAATCAGGCCGGGTGCGGTGGCTCACGCCTATAATCCCAGCACTTTGGGAGGCCGAGGTGGGTGGATCACCTGAGGTCAGGAGTTCAAGACTAGCCTGGCCAACATGGAGAAACCCCATCTCTACTAAGAATACAAAAATTAGCCAGGCGTGGTGGCAGGTGCCTGTAATCCCAGCTACTTGGGAGGCTGAAGCAGGAGAATTGCTTGAACCTGGGAGGCCGAGGTTGCCGTGAACTGAGATCACGCCACTGCATGCCAGCCTGGGCAAC
The DNA here is from genome assembly GCF_000001405.40 of Homo sapiens. NCBI lineage: Eukaryota > Metazoa > Chordata > Mammalia > Primates > Hominidae > Homo > Homo sapiens. Next base: position 178,087,706 of record NC_000005.10, read on the forward strand.
AGAGTGAAACTCATCTCAAAAAAGAAAAAAATTGAATCAAATTAAATTAAATTCAAATTAAAAATTGAATTAAATTGATACCAGTGAAAATAATTTCCACAAAATAAAATTTTTATGCAAAAAATAAGTGGTTTGACTGTGCCATATTTACTTTTTTTTTTTTTTTTTTTGAGACGGAGTCTCGCTCTGTCGCCCAGGCTGGAGTGCAATGGCGCGATTTCGGCTCACTGCAAGCTCTGCCTCCCAGGTTCACTCCATTCTCCTGCCTCAGCCTCCCGAGTAGCTGGGACTACAGGCGCCCACCACCACGCCTGGCTAATTTTTTTTTTCTATTTTTAGTAGAGACGGGGTTTCACCGTGTTAGCCAGGATGGTCTCAATCTCCTGACCTCGTGATCCGCCTGCCTCGGCCTCCCAAAGTGCTGGGATTATAGGCATGAGCCACCGTGCCCGGCCTTCTTTTTTTTTTTTTTTTGAGATGGAGTTTCGTTCTTGTTGCCCAGGCTGGAGTACAATGGAGCAATCTTGGCTCACCGCAACCTCCGCCTCCCGGGTTCAAGCGATTCTCCTGCCTCAGCCTCCCGAGTAGCTGGGATTACAGACATGCGCACACCCAGCTAATTTTGTATTTTTAGTAGAGATGGGGTTTCTCCATGTTGGTCAGGCTGGTTTTGAACCCCCGACCTCAGGTGATCTGCCCACCTTGACCCCTCAAAGTGCTGGGATTACAGGCATGAGCCACCGCGCCTGGCCCCGTACTTACATTTTATCAATCAATTAATTTACTTTAATGCCTCTTGTTCCAAGAATGCTTTATTGACAAAACAATCAGTGTTGGCAAATACTCTGATTAAAATATTCCTTTCTTTCCTTTCCTTTCTTTTCTGTCAGAGACAGGGTCTTGCTCTGTCGCCCATGCTGGAGCACAGTGGTGTGATCATAGCTGACTGCAGCCTTGATTTCCTGGGCTCAAGCTGTTCTGCCTCAGCCTCCCGGGTAGCTGGAATGATAGGCACACACAACCATGCCCAGCTATTTTTAAAAATTTTTGTAGAGACAGGGTTTCACTATGTTGCTCAGGCTATAATTAAAATAATTCGATTCAAGATAAGCACCAATCAAAGCAGGTTGAAAATGCCCCCATCTGTTGAAAACTCCCAATTTTATACATCACTACCTGAATTCCAGACTCAAATAACCAACTGCCCATGGGACATTCTCACTTGGAAGTCCCAAAACCTCATCAGACATATATGCCCAAAGGCAAACTGCTAACCTTTTTTTTTTTTGAGACAGAGTCTCACTCTGTTGTCACCCAGGCTGGAGTGCAGGGGCACAATCTGGGCCCACGGCAACCTCCGCCTCTCAGGTTCAAGAGATTCTTGTGCCTCAGCTGCCTAAGTAGCTAAGACTACAGGCAAGTGCCTGATTTTTGTATTTTTAGTAGAGACAGGGTTTCACCATGTTGGCCAAGCTGGTCTTTAACTCCTGACCTCAAATGATCCTCCTGCCTTGGCCTCCCAAAGTGCTGGGATTATAGGTGTGAGCCACTGCGCCCGGCCTGCTGACCCTTCTTTCATCAACTTGTCCTCCTTTTCAGACACCCTGTCTTCGACTGGGACCGTCCAGTTACTCATGCCAAAAACTCAGGGCACCCACCACCCTCACCTCTCTCACCCCCCAAACAAACCTAATGCCAAGTCCTATCAACTCAACAGCCAGGGTATCTCTCAAATCTGCTCTCTTTCCAGCTCTACTTCCAATGCCCTCATCCAAGCTCATGGTATCTTCTTCTTGCTCTCTGGACAACTAGTCTCCTCGAAACCACCGTTGTACCCTCTGATCCATCACCCACACTCATTGTTTAATAGTTTTAAAAAGTCGGTGGGCGTGGAAGCTCACATCTGTAATCCTAGCGCTTTGGGAGGCCGAGGTAGGAGAATTGCTTGAGGCCAGGAGTTTGAGACCAGCCTAAGCAACATAGTGAGACCCCATCTCTAAAAATTAAAAAAAAAAAAAAAAACTAAATTAAAATAAAAATAGTTTAAAAAGTAAACCAGGACCTCCCCTTTCAGTAAAGGCAGACTAGGTACTTCGGACAAAACCTCCTGATAAAAACAGCTACAAAAGTGTTTTAAAAATTTACACACACACACACACACACAATTTTTTTTTTTTTTTTTTTTTTAAGAGACAGGGTCTTGCTCTGCCACCTATGCTGGACTGCAGTCTCCTGATCATAGCTCACTGTAACCTCAAACTCCTGGGCTCATAAGATCCTCCTGCCTCAGCTAGGATTACAGGCACACATCACCATTCCCAGCTAATTTTTTATAATTTTTCTAGAGATGGGGTCTCGCCATATTGCCCAAGCTGGCCTTGAACTCCTGGCCTCAAGCCATCCTCCAGGTCAGCCTCCCAAAGTGCTGGGATTACAGGAATGAGCCACCATGTCCAGTTGACACACACAATCTTAAAAGCATCAAAGAGGCCAGGCATGGTAGCTCATGCCTGTAATCTCAGCACTTTGGGAGGCCAAGGTGGGCGGATCACCTGAGGTCAGGAGTTCGAGACCAGTCTGGCCAACATGGTGAAACCCTGTCTCTATTAAAAATACAAAAAAAATTAGCCGGGCATGGTGGCAGGCACTGGTAATCCCAGCTATTCCGGGGGTGCTGAGGCAGGAGAACAGCTTGAACCCGGGAGGCGGAGGTTGCAGTGAGCCAAGATCACTGAACTTCAGCCTGGGCGATAGAGTGAGACTCTGTCTCCAAAAAAAAAACAAAAACAAAAACAAAAGCTGGGTGTGATGGCTCATGCCTGTAGTCCCAGCACTTTGGGAGGCCGAGGTGGGTGGATCACCTGAGGTCAGGGGTTTGAGACCAGGCTGTCCAACATTGTGAAACCCATCTCTACTAAAAATACAAAAACTAGCCAGGCATGGTGGTGGGCACCTGTAATTCCAGCTATTCAGGAGGCTGAGGCAGGAAAATCACTTGAACCCAGGAGGCAGAGGTTGCAGCGAGCTGAGATTACACCATTGCACTCCAGCCTGGGTAACAAAAGCAAAACTCCATGTCAAAAAAAAGCATTAAAGAGCTAACAAAGTAGTGAAGAATTGCCATGCTGAATCTGAGAGAGAACAGGATTCCCAAGAGGTGACCCAGATACTTGAGGCTGCAGTTGCCCTGGAAGCTTTTGCCAATTGAAAAGAAGGGCTGAGAGGCTAAGCTCACTTTCAGTGGCTTTGCATGCCTGGAGATAAATATCTAAGTCTGGGGCCTGCCAAGAGTGTGGGTGATAAGCTGCCTCCCACACGCGAGTCAGCCCCCAAAGGACTGCATTTCAGAAGTAAAGGTGAACTGAAAGTAAAGCCGTCCTTACCTGAATGATAGTCCAGGTTTGAGTCACCCAGGTTCCCGAGAAAACACCATGCCCTAAGTATGAACTCCAATGATCTCAGTTTGCTGATCCCTCCAGGCACCTGGCAAAAGCAATAGAAAATTCTCTTTGGCCAGGCGCAGTGGCTCACGCCTGTAATCCCAGCATTTTGGGAGGCCAAGTTCGGAGGATCACTTGAGGTCAGGAATTTGAGACCAGCCTGGCCAACATGATGAAACCCCATCTCTACCAAAAATACAAACATTAGCTTGGTGTGGTGGTGGTCACCTGTAATCCCAGCTACTCAGGAGGCTGAGGCAGGAGAATCACTAGAACCCGGGAGTGGAAGGTTGCAGTGAACCGAGATTGCACCACTGCACTTCAGCCTGGGTGACAGAGTGAGACTCCATCCAAAAAAAAAAAGAAAGAGAGAAAGAAAGAAGGGAAGGAAGGAAGGAAAGACTCTTTGGTGAATGAGAAAATCACTCCATTTCAAATTAGTTCTACAAATAATTTCAGAAACACAATGTTTAACATACAAAAATAAAGACACATGAGGAAGCAAGATTCCTTGAGCTAAAATCATCAGAAATAACAGTCAATAGAAATAGAGCCAGAGGAACTCCAGACTATAAAACAAATTAGTAGTATTATGTTCAAGAAATTAAATGCCAAAATTGAAAATTTTAGCAAGGAACTGGAAGCTCTATAAATTATATAGCATATGTGAAAAAGAAATAAATAGAAAGTCAGCCAGGTGCAGTGGCTTGCACCTGTAACCCCAGCACTTTGGGAGGCCGAGGCAAGGGGATTACTTGAGGCCAGGAGTTCGAGACCAGCCTGGCCAACATGACAAAACCTCGTCTCTACTAAAAATATAAAAATTAGCTGGGCGTGGTGGTGTGCACCTGTAATCCCAGCTACTCGGGAGGCTGTGGCAGGAGAATTACTTGAACCCAGGAGGCCGAGGTTGCAATGAGCAGAGATTGTGCCACTGCACTCCAGCCTGGGTGACAGAGCAAGACTCAGTCTCAAAAAAAAAAAAAAAAAAAAAGTCTATGACTAAAAAATTCAAACTACAGGTAAGGCTCAGTGGCTCACGTCTGTAATCCCAGCATTTTGGGAGGCCAAGGCGGGTGGATCATGAGGTCAAGAGATCAAGACCATCCTGGCCAACATGGTGAAACCCCGTCTCTACTAAAAAAAAATACAAAAAATTAGCTGGGTGTGGTGGTGTGTGCCTGTAGTCCTAGCTACTTGGGAGGCTGAGGCAGGAGAATCACTTGAACCTGGGAGGCAGAAGTTGCAATGAGCCAAAATCACACCACTGCACTCCAGCTTGGTGACAGGACGAGACTCAGTCTCAAAAAAAAAAAAAAAAGAAAAAAGAAAAATTCAAACTAAAACTTCAAGCTCAATGGATGGGTTTAACAGCAGATTTGACGTGGATGAAAAATGAGTTAGAGAACTAGAAGGCAGGTCAGAAAAAACAATCCAGAAACAAGCATAGAGAGACACAAGGATGTGAAATGCAGAAGGGAAGACTACAGATATGGAAGTTACAGTGAGACTGTCTTACATATGTTTAATTGCAGTCTCAGAAGAAGGGGAGAAAGAGGACCCAGACCCCCAGACCAGACAGTATATTAAATTGTGGTTGAGAATTTTCCTGAATGGATGGAAGACATCAATCTATAGGTTTAAGAACTCCAATAGATGCCAAGCAGAATTTTAAAAAAGAAATTCACAGCCGGGCACGGTGGCTCACGCCTGTGATCCCAGCACTTTGGGAGGCTGAGACGGGCGGATCACGAGGTCAGGAGATTGAGACCATCCTGGCTAACATGGTGAAACGCCGTCTCTAATAAAAATACAAAAAATTAGCCGGGCGTGGTGGCGGATGCCTGTAGTCCCAGCTACTTGGGAGGCTGAGGCAGGAGAATGGCGTGAACCTGGGAGGCAGAGCTTGCAGTGAGTGGAGATCACGCCACTGCACTCCAGCCTGGGGGACAGAGCGAGACTCCATCTCAAAAAAAAAAAAAAAAAGAAATTCACACTTGACCCATCATGGTGAAAATGTAGGAAATCAAAGACAACAAGAAAATCATAAAAACATAGATAATAGTGCTGGTTATTTACCTCTGGTTTCTGGTCTACGCTCACCCTTCTATAATCTGCTCTGAGATGCTGGGGCTAGGGTCTGCAAGCCACATTTTTCAGCTCCCTTGCCAGCTGACTTCCTGTTAGCTTCTGCCAATGAGAGGCACTAAAGGCAGCTTAGCAGGTGGGAGAGGGGATTCCTTCCTGTCTCAGACAAAAATAGACTCAGTTAAAAAAAAAAACAAAAACTAGAGGCAAAGCACATCACTATATAATAATAAAGGTTTAATTTCCCAGGATGGCATAGTATTTCTAACTTTCAGTCACCTGTTAACGTGGCCTCAAAATACACAAATGAAGTAAAATTTTTTTTTTTTTTTTTTTTTTGAGATGCAATCTTGCTCTGTTGCCCAGGCTGGAGTGCAGTGGTACAATCTCGGCTCACAGCAATCTCCACCTCCCATGTTCAAGTGATTCTCCTGCCTCAGCCTCCTGAGTAGCTGGGATTACAGATGTGAGCCACCACAGCCAGCTAATTTTTGTATTTTTCATAGAGACGGGGTTTCACCATGTTGGCCAGTCTGGTCTCGAACTCCCAACCTCAAGTGATCTGTCTGCCTCAGCCTCCCAAAGTGCTGGGATTACAGGTGTGAGCCACTGTGCCCAGCCTCAAATGAAGTAAAATTTCTGAATGTCCTGATGTTAAAATGGTTGGGAAGCCTGGGTGCAGTGGCTCACGCCTGTAATCCCAGCACTTTGGGAGGCCGAGGCGGGCGGATCACCTGAGGTCAGGAGTTCGAGACCAGCCTCAACATGGAGAAACCCCGTCTCTACTAAAAATACAAAATTAGCCGGGCGTGGTGGTGCATGCCTGTAATCCCAGCTACTCGGGAGGCTGAGGCAAGAGAATTGCTTGAACCTGGGAGGCGGAGGTTGTGGTGAGCCGAGATTGCTCCATTGCACTCCAACCTGGGCAACAAGAGCGAAACTCCATCTCAAAAAAAAGGTTGGGAAGCGCTGACTCACAGTATGTTCCATGAGGCCTGTGCTCTAGAGAAAAATTACCCTAGGTAAGGACAATAGAGATGCAGCAAGTGTAAAGGCCCTGCGGTGGGCCAGTGTGACTGGAGCTTGAATAACGGGACAGTGGGAGAAGATGAGGTCAGAGTCAGGATGGAGCCACGGCAGCTATGACCTGATAGGACATGGTAAAGAGGGGGCTGCGGGAAGCCACTGGAAACAATGAAGCAGAGAAGGAACATGACCAGATTCAAGGCTTAGAAAGCCACTTCGGCTGCTGTGTAGAGAATGGACTAGGTGGAGTGAGACAGGAAGCAAGGAGGCAAGCTGGGTGGTTCCTGCAGGAAGCCAGGTGGGAGGGGGCAGGCGCTTGCACTGAGGGCTGCAGAGACAAAAGAAGTGGAGGGATGTGAGACATATCTGGAGAGAGAATCTATAGAGTTTGTTCATGAATGGGATGGGAGGGGTGTGATACGAGGCGAGGGAAGAAATTGAGGCTACTAGCGGGTTTGGGCTTCCGCTATGGAGTGGATGGTCGTAGCACAGACTGCAGTGAGGAAGACAGGTTCGAAGAGGGAAATCAAGCATCTTGTTCAGGACCTATGAAGTTGTGGAGCCCAGCCAACATCCAAGTGGGGACAGCCCATAGGTGGTATTTGTTGACTGCGTAAGTGAGCTCAGTTCTTCTGGTGGGGAACACGGTCTGTAGTAAGGCGGAGTATTGAGTTTTAGACAACTCTGCCGAAACCCCTTAGGTGGAGAAGACTTCGGCTGCCCTGGGCCTTGCACCCACTGGTTCTGGATGTGCCATCTCCCGGGCTCACATGCTGGATTCACGTCAGTCCTCCCTCCTCCATGGTCACTCTTCAGATGGCTTCACATCGGTCCTCCCTGCTCCATGGTCACTCTTCAGATGGATTCACGTCAGTCCTCCCTCCTCCGTGGCCACTCTTCAGATGGCTTCATGTCGGTCCTCCCTCCTCCGTGGCCACTCTTCAGATGGCTTCATGTCGGTCCTCCCTCCTCCGTGGCCACTCTTCAGATGGCTTCATGTCGGTTCTCCCTCCTCCGTGGCCACTCTTCAGATGGATTCACGTCAGTCCTCCCTCCTCCGTGGCCACTCTTCAGATGGATTCACGTCAGTCCTCCCTCCTCCGTGGCCACTCTTCAGATGGATTCACGTCAGTCCTCCCTCCTCCGTGGCCACTCTTCAGATGGCTTCACGTCGGTCCTCCCTCCTCAGTGGCCACTCTTCACATGGATTCATGTCGGTCCTCCCTCCTCAGTGGCCACTCTTCACATGGATTCATGTCGGTCCTCCCTCCTCCGTGGCCACTCTTCAGATGGCTTCACGTCGGTCCTCCCTCCTCGGTGGCCTCTCTTCAGATGGATTCACGTCGGTCCTCCCTCCTCCGTGGCCACTCTTCAGATAGCTTCACGTCGGTCCTCCCTCCTCCGTGGCCACTCTTCAGATGGCTTCATGTCGGTCCTCCCTCCTCCGTGGCCACTCTTCAGATGGCTTCATGTCGGTCCTCCCTCCTCCGTGGCCACTCTTCAGATGGCTTCATGTCGGTCCTCCCTCCTCCGTGGCCACTCTTCAGATGGCTTCATGTCGGTTCTCCCTCCTCCGTGGCCACTCTTCACATGGATTCATGTCGGTCCTCCCTCCTCCGTGGCCACTCTTCAGATGGCTTCATGTCGGTCCTCCCTCCTCCGTGGCCACTCTTCAGATGGCTTCATGTCGGTCCTCCCTCCTCAGTGGCCACTCTTCAGATGGATTCATGTCGGTCCTCCCTCCTCCGTGGCCACTCTTCAGATGGCTTCACGTCGGTCCTCCCTCCTCCGTGGCCACTCTTCAGATAGCTTCACGTCGGTCCTCCCTCCTCCGTGGCCACTCTTCACATGGATTCACGTCGGTCCTCCCTCCTCCGTGGCCACTCTTCAGATGGCTTCATGTCGGTCCTCCCTCCTCCGTGGCCACTCTTCAGATGGCTTCATGTCGGTCCTCCCTCCTCCGTGGCCACTCTTCACATGGATTCATGTCGGTCCTCCCTCCTCCGTGGCCACTCTTCAGATGGCTTCATGTCGGTCCTCCCTCCTCCGTGGCCACTCTTCAGATGGCTTCATGTCGGTCCTCCCTCCTCGGTGGCCTCTCTTCAGATGGATTCACGTCGGTCCTCCCTCCTCCGTGGCCACTCTTCAGATGGCTTCATGTCGGTCCTCCCTCCTCGGTGGCCTCTCTTCAGATGGATTCACGTCGGTCCTCCCTCCTCCGTGGCCACTCTTCAGATGGCTTCATGTCGGTCCTCCCTCCTCCGTGGCCACTCTTCACATGGATTCATGTCGGTCCTCCCTCCTCCGTGGCCACTCTTCAGATGGCTTCATGTCGGTCCTCCCTCCTCCGTGGCCACTCTTCAGATGGCTTCATGTCGGTTCTCCCTCCTCCGTGGCCACTCTTCACATGGATTCATGTCGGTCCTCCCTCCTCCGTGGCCTCTCTTCAGATGGATTCACATCGGTCCTCCCTCCTCCGTGGCCACTCTTCAGATGGATTCACGTCGGTCCTCCCTCCTCCGTGGCCACTCTTCAGATGGCTTCATGTCGGTCCTCCCTCCTCCGTGGCCTCTCTTCAGATGGATTCACGTCGGTCCTCCCTCCTCCGTGGCCACTCTTCAGATGGATTCACGTCGGTCCTCCCTCCTCCGTGGCCACTCTTCAGATGGCTTCATGTCGGTCCTCCCTCCTCCGTGGCCACTCTTCAGATGGCTTCATGTCGGTCCTCCCTCCTCCGTGGCCACTCTTCAGATGGCTTCATGTCGGTTCTCCCTCCTCCGTGGCCACTCTTCAGATGGCTTCACGTCAGTCCTCCCTCCTCTGTGGCCACTCTTCAGAGACTGGGTCTCTTACTCCTTTCCTCACAGGGCATTTCTAGGCCCCTCACTATCCTATTCAGATCCTTATTTTTGGAGCCTCTTTGAGTTTGAAGACGGCATTCTGTGTTCTGCCACTGCTAGCTCTCGTGCAAACACCGTTTCCTTGATTCTTCATAACCCTGCGAGACAGAGCCTACCACCCCCATTTTAGAGAGTGTAAGCTGAGGCTGAGGGTCACATGCTATATGTAAATTCCACAGGTGGGATTCAAGCCCAGAACAAACGGACTTAAGAGCCCCCCACTCCCTCTCACTCTATATTCTCACTCCATCCCTTTGGTTTTCACATTTACCTGCATTTTCTTTCAGGACTTTTGAATCACCTCTCAAAGTTGAGAAGACAAGGGGCTGAAATCTTCCCCTCAGATGTAGGGGAGTCTCTAAGCTGCTCAGGTACACGTGAGCTCTGGTTACATTTCTGGAAGGACATGGGCAGGAAACCGAGAGAGATGGGAAAGTGGCTCAGAGAGGACCAGCACTGCTCACACCGAGGAGTGGCTGAGCGTGCAATTTCAGAGGCAGCGCCTACAACGAACCAGTCTGGCCCAGTGCAATGGCTCACGCCTGTAATCCCAACACTTTGGGAGGCCAAGGCAGGATGATTACTTGAGCTCAGGAGTTCAAGACCAGCCTGGGCAACTAGTAAAACCCCATTTCTACTAATTTTTTTTTTAATTAGCTGGGTCTAGAGTGGTGCACACCTGTGGTAATTAGCTGGGTCTGGGGTGGTGCGCAACTGTGGTCCCAGCTACCTGAGAGGCTGAGGTGGATCCCTTGAGACTAGCCTGGGCAACATGGTGAAACCCTGTTTCCACAAAAGTACACAAAAATTCGCAGGGCCTGGTGGTGTGCGCCTATAGTCCCAGCTACTGGGGGCGCTGAAACAGGAGGATTGCTTGAGGCCAGGAGATCGAGGTTTCAGTGAGCTGAGAATGTGCCACTGCACTCCAGGCTGGGTGACACAGAGAGACCCTGTCTCAAAAAAAAAAAAAAAAAAAAAAAAACAGGCCAGGTGCAGTGGCTCACGCCTGTAATCCCATCACTTTGGGAGGTCGAGGCAGGTAGATCACTTGAAGTCAGGAGGTGGGAGATTCACTGGAACCAATCAGAGGTTGAAGTGAGCCAAGATAGCACCACTGCACTTCAGCCTGGGTGACAGAGTGAGACTCCATCTCAAAAAAACAAAAACAAAAAGCAAACAAAAAAATAAACCAGCCAGGCGTGGTGGCTCATGCCTGTAATCCCAGCACTTTGGGAGGCCAAGGCAAGTGGATCACCTGAGGTCGGGAGTTCGAGACCAGCCTGACCAACATGGAGAAACCCCGTCTCTATGAAAAATACAAAATTAGCCGGGCATGGTGGTGCATGCCTGTAATCCCAGCTACTCAGGAAGGCTAAGGCAGGAGAATCGCTTGAACCCGGGAGGCGGAGGTTGCGGTGAGCCGAGATCGCGCCATTGCGCTCCAGTCTGGGCAACAAGAGCAAAACTCCATCTCAAAAAACAAACAAACAAACAAACAAAAAACACAGAGTAAATTTAAAAGTAATATTAGTACTGGATTATGACCCATGGAATAAAATAAACACCCATGAGTCCACACTGATATAAGCAAGTGACTGAACAAATAAGTAAATGAGGGGAGAGAGACAGCTCTTTCACACAGAAGAATTCTAATTATTAAATGTAGAAGGACTAAGACAAATAGAAAAATCACCATCACAGCGGCGGAGTAAAACTTGCCGCAGGCAAGATCCACCAACTGACGCAAGAGAGTCGGAGAAAGATATTTGCATACTCTCAAAGCACCCTTCCCTCCCCCACCAAGATATGTATTAGTTAAAAGAGGAAAATAGCAATTTTATTTTTATTTTTATTTTTATTTTTTAATTCTTTTATTTTTGAGACAGAGTCTCGATCTGTCGCCCAGGCTGGAGTGCAGTGGTGTGATCTCGGCTCACTGCAACCTCCACCTTCCGGGTTCAAGTGATTATCCTGCCTCAGCCTCCCAAGTAGCTGGGACTACAGGCACCTGCCATCATGCCCGGCTAATTTTTGTATTTTTGTAGAGACGGGGTTTCACCACGTTAGCCAGGCTGGTCTTGAACTCCTGACCTCAGGTGATCCGCCCGCCTTGGCCTCCCAAAGTGGAAAATAGCAATTTTATAGTGGAGAAACCTGGCAGACACCACCCAACGAAGGGACGAAGGTGGCCATCACCAATAAGTTCCATGATCTATTGGTAACGTTTAGTCTGGATATGCACTGAGGGTACACCTCGGTGTCACCCTTCCCCACAGAGCCTCCTCCAGCATAAGCTGAGGGGTACTCTACAAAGCCTCTGACCAGCCCTCCTCAAAAAGTGAGTCTCGAAAGATGGGGAAAAACTGAGGAACTCTCTGGGACTGGGGGACACTAAGGAGCCGTGCCAGCTCAGTGCAATGCCAGGTTGGATCCCAGACCAGAAAATGGACATTAATGAAAAAACTGATTAAATCCATGTAAAGCTTAGCTGGGCCTGGTCTCTGGTGCCTGTAGTCCCAGCTACTCAGAAGGCTGAGATGGGAAGATAGCTTGTGGCCAGGAGTTCTAGACCACCTGGGCAACATGGTGCGACCCTGTTTCTAAATAAATTAAAAAAAATTTTTTTTGGCTGGGCGCGGTGGTTCACGCCTGTAATCCCAGCACTTTGGGAGGCCAAGGCGGGTGGATCACCTGAGGTCAGGAGTTCAAGACTAGTCTGGCCAGCATGGCGAAACCCTGTCTCTTCTAAAAATGCAAAAATTAGCCAGGCATGGTGGTGGGCACCTGTAGTTCCAGCTACTCAGGAGGCTGAGGCACAAGAATCACTTGAACCCATGAGGCGGAGGTTGTAGTGAGCCGAGATCATGCCACTGCACTCCAGCCTGGACGATAGAGCGAGACACTGTCTCAAAAAAAAAATTTTTTTTTCTTTGAGATAGGGTCTCACCTCTGTTATCCAAGCTGGAGTGCAGTGGCACAATCTCAGCTCACTCAGTCTCGACCTCCTGGGCTCAAGCCATCCTCCCACCTTGGCGTCTCAAGTAGCTGGGACTACAGGTGCAGCCAACATGCTCAGCTAATTTTTGTAGTTTTTGTAGTTTTTGTAGATGAAGGGTTTCACTGTGTTGCTCAGGCTGGTCTCATATCCCTGGGCTCAAGTGATCCTCCTGCCTCGGTCTCCCAAAGTGTTGGGATTACAGGTGTGAGCCACAGTGCTCGGCCAAAAAAAAAATTTTTTTTTTGTTTTTGAAATGGAGTCTCGCTCTGTCCCCCAGGCTGAGGTGCAGTGGTGCAATCTTGGCTCACTGCAAGCTTCCACCTCCTGGGTTCATCCCATTCTCCCGCCTCAGCCTCCCGAGTAGTTGGGACTACAGGCGCCCGCCAACACTCCCGGCTAATTTTGTTTTATTTGTATTTTTAGTAGAGATGGGGTTTCACCATGTTAGCCAGGATGGTCTCGATCACCTGACCTTGTGATCTGACCACCTCGGCTTCCCAAAATGCTGGGATTACAGGCATGAGCCACCACGCCTGGCCAAAAAAATTTTTTTTAATTAGCTGGGTGAGGTGGCACTTACCTGCAGTTCCAGCTACTCGGGAGGCTGAGGCGGGAGGATGGATTTAGCCTGAGAGGTCAAGGCCACGTGAACTGCGATGGTGTCACTGCACTGCAGCCTGGACACAGGGAGACCCTGTCTCTGAAAAAACTATAAAGACTGGAGTTTATAGTATTGTACCCATGTTAATTTCCTCATTTTGATCTTTGTGCTATGATTACATAAGATGTTAACACTGGGCGAGGCTGAGTGAAAGATATAAGGTGTGAAAGGAAACTAAGGCGGGCCGGCGCGGCAGCTCATGCCTGTAATCCCAGCACTTGGGAGGCCGAGGCAGGCAGATCGCTTGGGCCCAAGAGTTTGGGAAGAGACTGGCAACATGGAGAGACCTCGTCTCTACAAAAAATACAAAAATTAGCTGGGCGTGGTGGTACGTGCCTGTACTCCCAGCTACTGGGGAGGCTGAGGTGGGAGGATTGCCTGAGCTCGGGAAATTGAGGCTGTGGTGAGCTGTGATTGCGCCACTGCACTGCAGCCTGGGTGACAGAGGTGAGACCCTGTCTCCAAAAAAAAAAAAAAAAAAAAAAATTCACACTAAGGCTATTACCCTGCCTGTTCCTCTTGCAACGTGTGGATTCCCACATTACGACACCCTCCCTCTTTCCCTCCAGCCTACTTTTACCCTTTAAAAGTGAAGCCCTCAAAATCATCTTTGGAGAGAGGCACAGACCTCTCTCCTGGGCATGCCCTTAACATTGGCAAAATAAAATCCTATATTGATTGAGACCTGTCTCACACATTTTGGTTTACAAAAGGAACTCTATACTATTTTTGCAACTTTTCTCTGTATCTTTTTTTTTTTTTTTTTTTTTTTGAGACGGAGTCTCGCTCTGTCGCCCAGGCTGGAGTGCAGTGGCGGGATCTCGGCTCACTGCAAGCTCCGCCTCCCGGGTTAACGCCATTCTCCTGCCTCAGCCTCCCAAGTAGCTGGGACTACAGGCGCCCGCCACTACGCCCGGCTAATTTTTTGTATTTTTAGTAGAGACGGGGTTTCACCGTTTTAGCCGGGATGGTCTCGATCTCCTGACTTCGTGATCCGCCCGCCTCGGCCTCCCAAAGTGCTGGGACTACAGGCGTGAGCCACCGCGCCCGGCCTTTTCTCTGTATCTTAAAACTATTTCAAAATAAAATTTAAAACAGGCTGGGCGCAGTGGCTCATGCCTGTAATCCCGGCACTTTGGGAGGCCAAGAGGGGCAGATCACGAGACCAGAAGTTTGAGACCAGCCTGGCCAACATCGTGAAACCCCGTCTCTATTAAAAAGAAATACAAAAATTAGCTGGGTGTGGTGGCGTGCACCTGTAGTCCCAGCTACATTGGGAGGCTGAAGCAGGAGAATTGCTTGAACCTGGAAAGCAGAGGTTGCAGTGAGCTGAGACCACACCATTACACTCCAGCCTGGGTGATAGAGTGAGACCCTGTCTCAAAAAAAAAAAAACAACTTAAAACAAAAAAATCAGCCAGGCAGGCGCGGTGGCTGGCTCACGCCTGTAATCCCAGCACTTTGGGAGGCCGAGGCGGGCAGATCACGAGGTCAGGAGATCGAGACCATCCTGGCTAACACAGTGAAACCCCGTCTCTACTAAAAATGCAAAAAATTAGCTGGGTGTGGTGGCGGGTGCCTGTAGTCCCAGCTACTAGGGAGGCTGAGACAGGAGAATGGCGTGAACCCGGGAGGCGGAGCTTGCAGTGGCTGGAGATTGCAACACTGCTCTCCAGCCTGGGCAACAAGGGCAAAACTCCGTCTCAAAAAAAAAAAAAAAAATCACCCAGAGACATATCCTGGCATATTTTCTTCCTGTTCCTTTTCTTACGTGGGGGTGACATTTTCTGCTCCACCTAAGGAAGGTCGTGGCAGACACATGATTCTACACCACTACATTGAAGTATCATGACCAGCCGGGGGCGGTGGCTCATGCCTGTAATCCCAGCACTTTGGGAGGCCAAGGCGGTGGATCACTTGAGGTCAGGAGTTCGAGACCAGCCTGGCCAATATGGTGAAACCCTGTCTTTACTAAAAATGCAAAACAATTAGCCGGGCGTGGTGGCGCATGCCTGTAGTCTCAGTTACTTGGGAGGCTGAGGCACAAGAATCGCTTGAACTCGGGAGGCAGAGGTTGCAGTGAGCCGTGATCATGCCACTGCACTCCAGCCTGGGTGACAGAGTGAGACTCTGTCTCAAAAAAAAAAAAAGAAAAGAAAATGAAATATCTTGACAGGCATCATCACTCTCATTTCACCAACAGAGAAATTAAGGCCTAGGGCAGGTCAAAGAAATTAAGAAGGGCCAGGGCTGAATGTGAATGCAGGTCCCTGAGGCCAAGTTCCAGAATCTCACCACGCCAGGATTCTTGGTGGTTTTTTTTTTTTTGAGATGGACTCTCACTCTGTCATCCAGGCTGGAGTGCAGTGGTGCGATCTCGGCTCACCACAACCTCCGCCTCCCGGGTTCAAGCCATTCTCCTGCCTCAGCCTCCCAAGTAGCTGGGATTACAGGAGCACACCACCACGCCCGGCCAATTTTTGTAATTTTAGTAGAGACGGGGTTTCACTATGTTGGTCAGGCTGGTCTCAAACTCCTGACCTCATGATCCACGCCCCCCTCGGCCTCCCACAGTGCTGGGATTACAGGCATGAGCCACCGCGCCCCGCCCCACACCAGAATTCTTTCGAGGAAGTTCATTCCCTCACTCCTGCACACATTCACTTAAGCATGCCGAGGGCCTTGTGGGTCCTGGCCTGTGACAGACCGGGGGTGAAAGAGTCTAGGTGGCCACAGTCCTGCCGTCAACCAGCTTCCATTCTAAAGGCTTAATGTCTGCAACCCAGGGCGCCCGCTACCCAGCCTGGCCCAGCAGGAGTGAGTGGGGAAGGAGATATGCCCCTTCAAAAGGACTCACTCACTGCCCAGCTGTCAGCACCTTCCGGGTCCCCTCAGCTCTCAGATCGAGGCCACCCTGTTCCCTGGTGGCCAGTGACTGAGCAAGGCAGTGGTATTGTTGCAAGATGAGCCGCAGACAAAACTCCTCAGACACTGAGTTAAAGAAGGAAGGGGTTTACTCGGCCAGGGGCATCGGCAAGACTCCTGTCTCAAGGGCCGAGCTCCCCGAGTGGGCAATTCCTGTCCCTTTTAAGAGCTCACAACTCTAAGGGGGTGCGCGTGAGAGGGTTAGGAGGTACGTGACTGGGGGCTGCATGCGCCAGTAATTAGTCGGGAACAAAGCAGGATAGGGATTTTCACAGTGCTTTTCTATACGATGTCTGTAATCTACAGATAACATCAACCATTAGGTCGGGGTCGATCTTTAACTACCAGGCCCAGGGTGTGGTGCTGGGCTGTCTGCTTGTGGATTTCATTTCTGCCTTTTAGTTTTTACTTTTTCTTTCTTTGGAGGCAGAAATTGGGCATAAGACAATATGAGGGGTGGTCTCCTCCCTTAGTATCAGGACCTTTTCTAACGGGGGACTCCTCTGTCAGGCACTTCGATCCAGAGCTCTTCTGCTGGTGCCCTCTGCCCAATCGCCTTCCTCCCCATTTTTTTTTTTCCTTTTTGAGACAGGGTCTTGCTCTGTTGCCCAGGCTGGTCACTGTTCCCTCTGGTGCATTCTTTGTCCCCGTCAACCTGGTAAGCTCCAGGGGCTGGCAGCTGGCACAGAGTAGGAGGCTGCACTCCCTGACTTTTCTATGCTGCACACAGTCCTGTGCCCACCCTGTCCTCAGACCTGCCAGGGCCATGACCAACCTGCCAAGGGCATGGGAAACTGTGTGTAAGACAGCTCTAGGAGGAGGTGGAGCAGGCGGAAGGTAGGGGAAGCTGCTGCCCCAGTAGGTTTAGAGGGAGGGTGGGGTGGGGGTGTGGCAGGGCCAGGCAGGTGAGGGTGTGTGGGTGGGGGTGTGTGGGGGAGGGTGTGGGTGGGGGTGTGCGGGTGAGGGTGTGTGGGTGAGAGTGTGTGAGTGCCTGCCTGGCTCTCCTGGGTGGGGCTGGATGAATGTTTGGGCACAGGCAGCAGCTGTCACATGGCCTGGCTGCGGGTTTGGGACAGAAGCCAGGTAGGTGGGCTGTATCAGGCACAGCTACAAACTGTGCCAAGGAAGCGGACCAGAGCAGGGGCCC
This sequence comes from Homo sapiens, assembly GCF_000001405.40. Lineage (NCBI taxonomy): Eukaryota > Metazoa > Chordata > Mammalia > Primates > Hominidae > Homo > Homo sapiens. The sequence goes on from NC_000005.10 coordinate 178,104,891, forward strand.
GGGGAAACTTCTGCCTTGGCAGAAGATATTGGGGGGACAGGATGATTTGGGGAGGTCTTCCAAGGCCCATGGTGCTTCATGGAGCCAGGGCCCAGGGCAGGGAGGGCTATAACCCTGGCTTGCCTGATTGGCTGAACACAGATAGATGGAAGGGGGTGTGAGCAGACCGCTAGGTGGATGCCTAAGTGAGGAAGGAATGGGTGGCCACGTGGCTGAGACCCCCAAGACCAGGACCCCACTGTCAGGCCTGTGGCTTCCATAGGCCAGTGGGAAGCGTTCCCCTTTGGGCACTGAGGCCATCGGCTTCAGCTTCACACCCTTTTCCAAACAGACAGAAGTCCTTCAGGTAACCTCAAAAGTCACTTCTCCTGGCCTTCCCCAGAGGGGAAAGGAGAGAGCGGTGCTTGTGGGCAGGGGGCCCTCGGAGCTGGTGGAGGGCACAGCAGAGAGACTGCCTGCATGTGGGAGGCCCCCAGCAGACCTTGCCTAGACGTCAGTCCTCGTTTGAGGCAAACTGTAAAATTATTACAATTTAGGCCAGGCACAATGGCCCATGCCTGTAATCCCAGCACTTTGGGAGGCCATGGCAGGAGGATCTCTTCAGCCCAGGAGTTTGAGCCTGCAGTGAGCTATGACTACACCACTGCACTTCAACCTGGGCAACAGAGGAAGACCCTGTCTCTAAAATAAATAAATAGGCTAGTCGTGGTGTCTCATGCCTGTAATCCCAGCACTTTGGGAGGCTGAGACATGTGGGTCACCTGAGGTCAGGAGTTCGAGACCAGCCTGACCAATATGGTGAAACCCCATCTCTACTAAAAATACAAAAATTAGCCAGGCATGGTGGCATGTGCCTGTAGTCCCAGCTACTCAGGAGGCTGAGACAGGAGAGTTGCTTGAGCCCAGGAGGTGGAGGTTGCAGTGAGCTGAGATTGCACCACTGGACTTCAGCCTGGGCAACAGAGCAAGACTCCGTCTCAAAAAAAAAAAAAGAACCCTGGAGTGTGGGAGGGTTTGTGTGGAAGTAAATAAAATCAGCCTCTGCTGGGTAACTTTTAAAGGCAGGCAGTGGGTACGTGGGAGTTTTTAAAAATTCCCTCCCTTTACCTTTGTGTATATTCGAAAATTGTTGTAATTAAGCTTTAAAAATAATCTAGGTAAAGTCTTGGTTAAAAAAAAAAAAATAGTGGCCCATGGCCAGCACCTTTTGGACAACTCTGGACTGTGACAATCCAAGTCACTGTATTACACAGATTTTTTTTTTTTCTGTCTCTTTTTTTTTTTAAGAGGTGGAGTCTTGCTCTGCTGCCCAGGCTGGAGTGCAGTGGCCCAGTCACAAGCTTCTAACTCCTGGCCTCAAGCAATCCTCCTGGCTCAGCTTCCTGGGTAGCTGGGACTGCAGGTGTGCACCACTACACCTGGCCTAAAACATTTCAAATCATGGTAAAATGCACACAAAACCTAACTATTTTTTGAAACAGAGTCTTGCACTGTCGCCCAGGCTGAAGTACATCAGTCCTCTCTCAGCTCCCTGCAAACTCTGCCTCCCGGATTCAAGGGATTCTCGTGCCTTAGCCTCCCGAGTAGCTGGGATACAGGTGTGTACCACCATGCCTGGATAATTGTTGTATGTTTAGTAGAGACGGGGTTTTGTCATGTTGGCCAGGCTGGTCTTGAACTCCTGGCCTCCTGTGATCCACGCACCTCAGCCTCCAAAAGTGCTGGGAGATTTCAGGCATGAGCCACCACACCCGGCCTCTTAACCATCTTGAAGTGTCCAGTTCAGTGGTGTGAAGCACATGTGCACCGTCGTGCCACCCATCCCCGGAGCTCTCTTCATGGTGCTGCTGTAGTTTCACAATGACTCCTCCAGACTTCGTCCACCCCCAACCCCTTGCCATAAATCACTGCAACTGAGGGACTGCAGCCCAGGAGTTTCTGGGCAAAGTACCGTGTTACCATCTGGGGTGGCAGCTCCACCTGGACTTAGCTGTGGGGCTGGTCCAGGTTTCCGGTGGCCTGTAACCCCAGCACTTAGGGAGGTCGGGGCAGGTAATCTCACACCTGTAGTCCCAGTGGTGCATGAGTGGGCCAGTTGGACTGCCTGGACTTCCGGGGTGTGAGTCCTCATGGGCTCCTGAAGGTCTGAGGTCTGCCCCGGGGCAGACACCTGAGCAAGTCATGGCAGCTCTCAACTTCCACCCCAACCTCCTGCCTGGGGCTGCCCCAGTCACCCCTGGGGGTGGGGGGACCCAGGGAAGAGGAAGCAGGAGGAGTGAACGAAGGCTCCTCTCCAGCTCTGCTGACTCGGGGAGGCAGCCCAGGTCCAGGAGTCCACTTTGACCCCAGGTGCGAGAGTGGGGAGGGCTGGGGAGGCTGGGTGGGTGCACAGCCCCACTGGCTCTGCCCCACAGCCACAATACCCCTCTGTGACACAGTTTTAGAACAATCTTGGGCTGGATGTGGCGACTCACAGCTGTAATCTCAACACTTTGGAAGGCTGAGGCAGGAGGATTGCTTGAGCCCAGGAGTTTGAGACCAGCTTGGGCAACATAGACCTTGCCTCTATTTTACAAAAAAAAAATTTTTTTTTTTTTTGAGACGGAGTTTTGCTCTTGTCACCCAGGCTGGAGTGCAGTGGTGTGATCTTGGCTCACTGCAACCTCCACCTCCCGGGCTCAAGCCATTCTCCTGCCTCAGCCTCCCAAGTAGCTGGGATTATAGGTGTGCACCACCACCCCTGGCTAATTTTGTATTTTTAGTTGAGATGGGGTTTCTCCATGTTGGCCAGGCTGGTCTTGAACCTCTGACCTTAAGTGATGTACCCACCTCAACCTCCCCAAGTGCTGGGATTATAGGCATGAGCCACTCTACCCAGCCTAAAAAACAATGTTAAAAATAAATAAAAATTTGTAAAAGACCAATCTTGGAGGACTGGCAGAGCTAGGGCCGGCACCAGGAGTTATCTGTTAGCCTGCGCTTTGCAAGGTCTGAAACCCTCAGATGCTGCCTCTCCAAGAATGCCCAGCTCTCCTCCCTCAGGCTGGGGCCTGGCCCAGCTCCAGGGGAGAGAGGACAAGGGAGGGCAAGGAGTGAAAGGCGGCCAGGGGACACAAAGCTGTCAGGTCCCTGGACATGCCCAGGGGATGCTGCCTGCTTTACCAATGAAGAATCCGAGGCTCAGGAAGGTCACCAGGAAGTCACGGACAGGACTGGGATTCAGAGCCAGGGCTGCCTTGCTTCAGCTCCTCCTCCTGGTTAGAAAACAGTCCTGAATTGCCTTTTTGCAGATGGTGTCTTAGAGCTGAGCATGGCTAACTGTCAGGCACTGTAAGAAGAACTGGGGGAGTCTGGACATGTGCTGGCCACCAGTCCCCCACACTCAGGGCTCACTGTCTCTTGAGGGTGACAGAGGATAACGCACTGTGACAAGCACCATCACAGCAAAGAAACAGAAAAAGTCCGGAGCGGCAAGAGGATGGGGTGATTAATTTTGCCTTGAGGGTAGAAGGAGGGGCCTTGAGGACAGTGGGTGCTCTTAATGGACTATTCCAACAACCAGCCACTTATGGATGAGGACACAGAGGCAGCTCCCAGAGCAGAGATGCACAGAAGCAGTAGCAGTGGCTTGGCCCGAAGACTAAAGGAGTTGCAGGGCCAGTCTTGAAGCTGGGACTACACCTCTCGGGCAGAGGAGTGTGGGGACAGAATGCGTAGGCTACAAGGCTCCCTCTGGGGCAGAGTCGGGGGTGGCTGGGCAGTAGGAAGCCAAGGCAGGTTGTTGCAACAGTCAAGAAGAAAGGTGATGAGGCCAGAGGTGGTGGCCAGAGAGATGAGGAAATTCCTCCTCACCAGGATGGCTGCAGGGTGATACAGTCCTGGCCACTCACAGACAGCATGGATGCAGGAAGACAGACCACAGACCCACAACAACGAAGGTGCGTGCCGGTGTGGGCAGGACTCAGCCTTCCAGCACTTCAAGACGGGCCCATGACAAGCATTCTGTCCTTCTGACAAACCTTCCCCATAAGGAAAAGGCAGAAGGACCAACTGACCTTCACAGATGCTGCCACTTACCAGGCACTGTGCAGGGTGCTTTAGAGGTGCTAGTTCACTTAATCCTCCCCTTTCAGAGCTGAGGAAACTAAGGCTCAGAGAGAGAAATTAAAGTGTCCCAGGTCAGCCAATTCAGGAAGTGGGTGCATCCAGGGAGGCTGGTTTCACTTCCCCTGGCCTGGTGCCCTGAGTGCCCCACCCCTTGGCATCTGAGCAGTGTGGCTCCCATGCCAACTCTACAGGAATGTCATGTCTGGGGGCAAGTGGCCCCTTGCAGGGGCATCTGCTGTGCAGGTCCAGGAAGGTAAATAAAGTTCACTGAATACAAGATCCCCCCATCCCAGCAGGAGTCCAGCTTGGCCTCTCCCATACTGTCCAGGCAGATGTTGGAGGGAAGAAAAGAGGCCTGGCCTCCTGTTGGTTTCTGCCTCCTCACCTCTGCCCAGCCCACTTTCTTCTCTCAAAGGCCTCAGCAAGGCCAATGGGAGGCCAAGGTCAAGGAGACGGGGTGAGAACAAGAGGCAGCCCGCATGGACAGGACAGGAGCGCAGTGCAGTTGAGCACCTTCTTTTTCTTTTTTTTTTTTTTTGAGATGGAGTCTCGCTCTGTCAGCCAGGCTGCTGGAGTGCCGTGGTGCAATCTTGGGACACTGCAACCTCCACCTCCCAGGTTCAAGTGATTCTCCTGCCTCAGCCTCCTGAGTAGTTGGAACTATGGGAGTGCGCCATCACATCTGCCTAATTTTTGTATTTTTAGTACAGACAGATTTTCACCATGTTGGCCAGGCTGGTTCTCGAACTCTTGATCTCAGGTGATCCACCTGCCTTGGCCTCCCAAAGTGCTGGGATTACAGGCATGAGCCACTGTGTCCTGCCTTTATTTATTTATTTATTTATTTATTTTTGAGACGGAGTCTCGCTCTGTCGCCCAGTCTGGAGTGCAGTGGCACCATCTCGGCTCACTGCAAGCTCCACCTCCTGGGTTCATGCCATTCTCCTGCCTCAGCCTCCCGCGTAGCTGGGACTACAGGCGCCCACGACCACACTCTGCTAATTTTTTGTATTTTTAATAAAGATAGGGTTTCACCGTGTTAGCCAGGATGGTCTCGATCTCCTGACCTCGTGATCCTCCTGCCTCGGCCTCCCAAAGTGCTGGGATCACAGGTGTGAGCCACCGTGCCCGGCCTTTTTTTTTTTAAAGACAGGGTCTTGCTCTGTCACCTAGGCTGGAGTGCAGTGTTCGATCATAGCTCACTGCAGCCTCTGATTCCTAGGCTCAAGGGATCCTTTTGCCTCAGCCTCTCGAGTAGCTGGGACTATAGGCACCACTGGCTTGGCTAATTTTTTATTTTTTTATAGAGATGGGGTCTTGCTATGTCGCCCAGGGAACTCCTGGGCTTAAGCAATGCTCTCACCTCGGCCTCCTAATGCGTTGGCATTACAGGCGTGAGCCACTGCACCCAACCCAGAATCTGAGTTTTCATCAGAACTTAGCTGTGACCTCTCTCTCTCTTCCTCATGCCATTTCTTGCAAGTGGATTCTTATAAGAACCTTCATTCAAACCCTCTCATAAACATCTCTATCACTGTCTCTCCCACTCAGTTGACAGAATGAACACCTTCTCGGCAGCTTCCAGCTTCCAGGTCCTCCTTGGCCCCATTTCTTTCCCTAGAGACCCAGGGGACCCGACCTCCCTGCCTGCCTGTGCCACCTCACAGGCCCCACGTCCAGCTGCGTGCACAAGCTCCTCTCTCTCAATGCTTCGGAGGCTCCCAGCGCCCACTTCAAGAGGCTTCTCTGGGTCTGCTCTCGGTTGCCACCTTCGTCCCTTCCCACCACTAACCTTTCCCACCCAGGGCTTGGACCTTGCTAGCAAGCTGAACGTGCCCTGCCTTCTCTAGCCCTGCTATCTGCTCTGCTGGGAACACTCCTCAGTGGAAATGCTTCCAGGACCATCTCAAAAACCATTGCTCCAGTGAGGCCTTTCCTTGGGTCCCCCAAACAGCCAAACAGGTTCTTGCTCTGAAACTTTATCTGTCCCAGTGAGTAACCCTACCAGACTGGCTCCTCAAGGGCTGAGACCCACAGCAGCTATTAATGAGTTTTCTTAGACAAGTATTCTGAAGTCTGGCAGTTCTATTAGAAATTCTGGCCGGGCGTGGTGGCTCACGCCTGTAATCCCAGCACTTTGGGAGGCCGAGGCAGGTGGATCACCTGAGGTCGGGAGTTCAAGACCAGCCTGACCAACCCCGTCTCTACTAAAAATACAAAATTAGCCGGGCATGGTGGCACACACCTGTGCCAACCAGCTACTCGGGAGGCTGAGACAGAAGACTCGCTTGAACCTGGGAGGGGGAGGTTGCAGTGAGCTGAGATCACGCCATTGCACTTCAGCCTAGGCAACAAGGGTGAAACTCCATCTCAAAAAAAAAAAAAAGTTGCCGGGCGCAGTGGCTTATGCCTGTAATCCTAGCACTTTGGGAGGCCAAGGGGGGGTGGATCACGAGGTCAGGGGATCGAGATCATCCTGGCTAACATGGTGAAACCCCATCTCCACTAAAAATACAAAAAATTAGCCGAGTGTGGTGGTGGGCACCCGTAGTCCCAGCTATTTGGGATGCTGAGGCAGGAGAATGGCGTGAACCCGGGAAGCGGAGCTTGCAGCGAGCTGAGATCGCACCACTGCACTCCAGCCTGGGCGACAGAGCAAGACTCCATCTCAAAAAAAAAGTTCTTTCAGCCAGGCATGGTGGCTCACGCCTGTACTCCCAGCACACTGAGAGGCTGAGGCAGGCAAATCATTTGCCTTAATTGATTTGCCCACCTCGTCTTCCCAAAGTGCTGGGATTACAGGCGTGAGCCGCCATGCCTGGCCAGAAGTTCTTCCTAGAGGTTCTATGCTGTCCTAGCAAGAATTGGTAAGAACAGCATAGAACACAAGGGGTTGCAAATTTGTGGGCCGTAGACCAAATCTGTTCCACAAGTGACAAGATGTTTTTTAATTGAGGTAAAATGTGCATACCATAAAATTAGCCGTTTTAAAGCAAACAATTCAATGACATTTGTATATTCATAACGTTGTGCAACCACCACCTCTGTCAGGCTCCAAAACATTTTCCTCATCCCAGAAGGAAACCCTATGCTTGTTAGGCAATCACTCTGCCTTTCTCTCTCCCCACAGCCTCTGGCTCTAATCTGCTTTCTGTTTGTCTGGATTTACTTATTATAAATGGCATCATTAACACATGTGGGCTTTGTGTCTGGTTTCTTTCACTTGCCATGTTTTGGAGGTTTATCCATGTTGTAGCAGGTATCATCAGTGTTTCATTCCTCTTTTTCTTTTCTTTTCTTTCTTTTTTTTTTTGAGACAGGCTTACGCCATCATCCAGGCTGGAGTGTAGTGGCACAATCTCCGTTCATTGCAACTCTGCCTCCTGGGTTCAAGCAATTCTCCTACCTTAGCCTCCCGAGTAGCTGGGATTACAGGCTCGCTCCACCATGCCTGGCTAATGTTTGGTGTTTTTGGTAGAGATAGAATTTCGCCATGTTGGCCAGGCTGGTCTCAAACTCCTGACCTCAAGTGAGCCGCCTGCCTCGGCCTCCCAAAATGCTAGGATTACAGGGGTGAGCCACCACATCAGGTCTTTTTTTTTTTAAGATAGAGATGGAGTTTTGTGAGTTGCCCAGGCTGTTCCTGAACTCCTGGCCTCCAAAAGTGCTGGGAGAGTTCAGACATGAGTCATCACATGGCGTTCATTTCTTTTTTATGGCTGAATAATATTCCACTGAATGGATCTACCATTGTTTGCTTACACCCTCATCAATTGTTAGTTTGGGCTGTTTCCACCTTTTGGCTCTTTGACTATTGTGACTAGTACTGCCAAGAACATTACTTGTTTGAGGACTATAATTGCCGGATCATATGGTAACTCTATGCTTAACTTTTGAATTAGAAACGGTGTTTTAATTTTTCGAATATGACTCCTTTACGTGTCTGTGTCTGTTTCCATGTCTTCCTACTGTCTTAGTAGGAAGCTCACGACTCATTTGCGTAATTTTTCTGGCCCCTGAAGGCACCTGATTTTGCTGCCCCTAGAATACTTTGGAGGCAAAAAGAAAATAACTCTGTGCCCAATTCAGCCAGAGTCGTGGGGTAAAATCTTTTCACTTCTCAAAGTACTACTGTGGTTCATCCCCAAAGGGGGGAAATCAGGTTTTCCGGAGAGGAGGCGGCTACAATTAGGGAGGTGAGGGACCTCACGCGCCTCTTCCTTAGAGGAGGCGGGCGAGGCGAACGGCGGAGGAGGAGAAGCGGGGGCGCTGTGCGCTCTCTGGGGCGTGGGCCGCGCTCGGGGCTGCCCACCCCTCGGGAACGAGCCGGGGCGCTCAAGGAGGCAGCGACGCGAGGCGCAGCCGGTCCAGGTTTCGCCCGCCACCGCCGTGCGGCGCCTCTGCGGGTCAGGGCCGGGGGCGCGGTCGGGGCCGGGCGGGGCCCAGGTTGGCTCGCGGGTAGGCGGCCCCGCCCCCCACATCCGGGGGCCGGGGCCGGGCTGTGGGCTTGCCGCGCGCCGGTGAGTCAGGCCGGGTTTTCCCTCCGCCTTTGGGGCAGGCGATCGAGCGCCGCGGAGCGCGTCCCTCCCTCGCCAATCCGGCTCCGGCGCCGGCGCCCGCCCGCGTTTTCCCGGCGCCTGCCGCTCCGCCGCTCCGACCCGGCACGCAGTCCCGGCCCGAGCCGACGCCTTGCAGGAGGGTTCAAATCCGCGCGGGGGAGCTGCGACGCGCAAGGGCTGCGGAGCCGCGGGCCGGCGAGCGCGTCGCCACCATGGTAAGTGGGGCGCGCGAGGGGCTGGGGACCCGGGCTGGACTCGGGGGGTGGGGAGGGGTGGGGCGGGTCGCCAAGGTCTTGTTTTCGGGCGTCCTTGGCAAAGCTGCTGTCCCGCTGGCCGAGGCTCCCGTCTGAGAGATGGGCGGGGGTGGCAAGGTGCGGCGTGCGCCCAGGTGTCCCCTGCTCCCGGTCACCGAGGCACCGGATCGGGGACCGACCCCGATGCTCCGCTGGAGGGGCAGGCGGCAGGCTACCTTGCTCTCCCCAACCCCTGCAAACGCGCTTTCCAGGGAGCAGCGCGCGGGACCCCTGCGCCACGGCTGGGTGGGGCAGGCGTCCTTGGCGCCGGCGTCTGACCTCGGCCTCCGCCCCCCGGCCCAGCCGCTCCCGGCAGGCCTCAGGGAGGGGCCAGGAGGAGACGCGCCTCCCACCCCGCCCCCCAGGTAGCTCCGGGACCTCCCGCAGCTTTGGGGAACCCTCGCCTTCACCCCTGCTTTCCTGACACAAATTCCGTGGGGATGCAACCTCGTTTGCCCCTCTGACTTCCCCATGAGATCTCTCGCTTCCTCCCACACCTCCTTTATCCCCCAACCCCCTGCCGGTCCACCAGGCTGCAGCTGCGGGTCTGCGGGTAGGGGACATTCCTAGGTCTTGACCGCCAGAGCACCCGGTCCAGTCCCGGCCACAGCCTTTGGCCCAAGTGAGGGCTGGCCTGGGGACAAGCCGAAATCAGGGCCCTGGCTGTATCCAGAAAGAGAACTGAGACCCGTTGCCTCCCACTGGGCCACCCCCCGACCCCAACCACATAGGAACAGATTGGGCCTGGCTGTCCTCGGGAGGGAGCGGACGCAGGAGGCCATCCTGGGCGCGGTTATCAGCCTCCTCCCAGGGCCCTCCCAGGCAGGGCTTCTCTACCGGCTGGCAGCGTGTGGTGTGCATGTGCCAGACTGTGAATGAATGCGGCCAGCCTGCCTCTGCCACCGCCTCTAGAGCTAGCATAGCGACTCGGAGTCCCCATGAGGCAGGTTTCCTCTATTTCTTCCTGACCTGGGGGGCAGCAGGAGGGATTCCAGGCCTGGTGGACCGCAGTCTAGGGCAGCCTGGTTGCAAGTGTCCTTGGGAGAAACAGGCATGGAGGGCTGGGCAGACATATATGCAATACATACACAGCAGTGTGTGCCCATGGAGGGGAACCCGTGACCCCTGGCTTAGGACAACCTGCTGAGGTAGAAAGGACCTTGCCCAGGGAGTTGAGATTGCTTCTCACTGTGGGATCTTGGATAACTCACCTCGCCTTCCGAGGCCTCAGTTTCCCGATCTGTAAAATGGCGTGAGGGTAATTACTGTCCTGTTTGCCCCCACGAGGCTATTGTGGAGATGAAATGAGATAATGAAATAGAAGGGCTGAGAAAAAACTGTAGACTGCGGTGCAGCCGTGAAGCACTATATGGTGATACTAAGCACCACTTCCGCAGGCTTTAGCCCCTGTCTCTGCCTCAAGTGTCTGTCACAGAGGGGATGGGGTGGGCCAGCCTCTCCCAGCCCCTCTCTGGGCCCCCCTTGCCTACTACCCCCCCCTTTTGGAGCTGGGACATTCCAGTCCCATTCCTTAGGGGCAGCTGCAGACACGCCCCTTAGCAGAGCTGATCCCCCAGCAGGTGGTGGGACCTTTCCCTGGGGCCAGGGCTCAGGAGGGGCTGACTGTAGCCAGGGCAGGCAGCACTCCTGCCCATGTGGGGACTGGAATGTCCCACCCCAGAGGAGATGCAAGGTGGGATCCGAGAGGACTTCTAATCCTGGAGCCTGTGTGCTTTCTCCCCTGCGGCTGAACGTGACCTTAGGCGTGTTACTTCACTTTCTGAACCTCAGTTTCCTCTTGTGAAGTGGGGGATGACAGAACTCATCTCCTGTGTGTCTTGTGAGGATGTGATAGTGCCCTTTGGCGTGACCCAAAAGGGCACCAACAGGCTCTGGGACGCCCCCCTCAAAGAAAGCGCGTCCTCTCCTTCTTTGCTTCCTGGCCAGGGCAGCTGTGTCTTCCATCTCCACCAAGGATTGGTCCGAAAGCAATTCCTCTCCGTGTTCAGAGATTCCAGTGCTGCCTGCTAATCTTGGGGACTGGAGAGGGGTGAGGGGACTGGTGGCGGGGAGCAGGAGTGAAGAGGCCTTACTGGGGCTAGCCAGGACCTGTGGAGAATGTGGCTTGAATGTCCCAGCCCAAATCTAGCCAGCTGTGTGGCTGGGGGTTTGCCGCTCCCAGCTCAGGGAAGCCCAGGCACTTGGCTTGTCCCCTACCCTTCTCTCCACGACCCGTGCAGGGTCCCCGGCTTTTTGCTCTGATGTTCCAGTGAGGCTGCAAGGCACTTGCTGTCCTCCCTCCCTCCTCCCCCACCAAATCCCCTCCGCCTGCACAGCTGCCCTGCCCAGCTGCCCTGCCCGGAGCAGGCAATCCCTGGGCTTCCAAGCAACAGGAAGGAAGGAATGTATGTGTTGGGGGAGGGGGTGGAGGTAGGATGGACCCCTTTAGGAAAAGAGACTGTCCCCACTCTGTGACATACGCAGGGAGGAGTGTCCTGAAAGCTGGGGGCCCCCGCCCTGCTGGGGGAGCTGATAATCCAGTCAGTCAGCCAGGAGGGGCACAGTGGGGACGGTGGGGGGCCTAAGGAGAGACAAAGGGAAGGGGCTGTCTGCTGCTCCTTCACTAGCCTGGGGGCTGGGAAGGACACTAGGTCATCATGCCACTGGGCTGCTCCTGCTTTGTCAGTGTGTCCTGTGGGTGACCTTGTGCACAGCTGTATGATTGTGTTTGCTGCTGGACGTGACCGTCTGCACCGTGTCCTCTAACATGGGCTCTCTGTGCTGCTGGGTGGGGCTGACATGTGGCACACCGTGGCGTGTGTGGTTGTATGCGCTGTTGCGGCCGGTGGCTACCTCTAGCTCAGGGACTTTCCCTGGACCTGCGATGCCTCGTGGGGAACCTGGGGGTCGGTTATCTCCTCGAGACAGGAAGTGAGCATCTGCCCACCGGAAGCTGAGGCGGTGTGCATTTGGGGTGAGGTGGGCGTATTTGGCACTGCTGCCAACGTCCCCGCCCCCAGGGCCACACAGGGCTTACATTTCATAAGCCCTTTCCCCTCCATCTCTGACTGTCAGTAATCCTTTGAGGAAAGCCGGGCAGGCGGGGTCTTTCCCACTTCATTTTTTTTTCCTTTTTAAAAATAAATAGAGATGGGGTCTCGCTATGTTGCTAAGGGTGGTTTCAAACTCCTGGGGTCAAGTGATCCTCCTGCCTCAGCCTCCCAAAGTGCTGGGATTACAGGTGTGAGCCACCATGCCTGGCCCTTTCCCGCTTCAGAGATGCAGAAACTGAGGCATGGCAAAAGGCGGAGCATTTGTGTCTGGGGTCCCCTGGAGAGAGTGAGGGCAGGCTGGAGAGCAGGTCTCTGCTGTCCCCTCCCCAAGAAGCAGCAACAGGAGTTGAGCGTGCTTGTGGACAAACCACATCTCTGGCTGGATGGGCTTGTCGTGGCAAGGAGGTATCAGATGAGGAGGCAGGATGCTTCCATTCTAATACTTTTGGCTGTAGGGACCAATCCTAGGTCCCACTAGACATTGGGCAGCCATGACCAGCTACGACCTTGGGCAAGTCACTTCACCTTTCTGAGCCCCACTGACCTTTAAGAAGGGTCAATAGCTGGGCACAGTGTCACGCACCTGTGTTTTTAGCTACTCAGGAGGCTGAAGTGGGAAGATGGCTTGATCCTAGGAGTTCGAGGCTGCAGTGGGCCATGGTTGCACTACTGTAGTCCAGCCTGGGTGACAGAGTGAAGAGCAAGACCCTGTCTCAAAAAAAAAAAAAAAAAAAAAGAAGGGACAATAACTCTGTCACAGGACTCAGCAGGACCCGTATGCAGGGCCAAGTCGCTGTAGGAACCCATCCCCTGTGATTCCTTACCTGGATGCATCTCCTATGTAGCCTGCAACGTGCGTTCTCAGGGGCTGGGCTGGGTGGGGTGTGCAAACCCGGATTCGCCCCATCCTGGGTTTGGGGGTTGGTTGGGGGAGAGCTGAGGTCATTTTTGCACAGGGTGAGGTGAGGCTGTGGGGTTGGGGCAGGTCCCCCTCCCGGAGAGCTTTGTCTTCCACAAACACAAAACCTGGAAATGGTTGAGGAAGATGGAACCTCCTAACGACCATTGTTCGGGGGCAGGAGTGGGTGCCCGGAAGCATGGGTGGTAGTAGGGGACCCACAGCTGCAGCTGGCCTGCTGGGCTTCTGTTCGAGAATGGGAGCAGCTGCTCAGGGGTGGGAGGCAGAGAAGGTGGCATTTGTTCACTCGGCCAGACCTTTCTGCACGCCCGCTCCATGCTGGGCACTGGGCTGTGCAGAGGATCCCCAGGGGACTAGGTACCAGCCCTGCCTCCAGAGTGTGTGGCCCAGCACAGGTGGAAGGTGGTCCGTCAGCCTAGTCCCTTGGTGATGTTTGTGTGCCTGGCTGAGCTCGGCTCCAGCCAGCCTGTTGACCCTGGCTGTGGCCCAGGCCCTGAACTGGGTGCTCTGTCATGTTATCCCACCCCATCCTCCCAGCATCCCAGTGATAAGTGTTATTGTCGCCAGGGTGTGTGTGCGGAAGTCCAGGCTCACTGAGGTTAGTGGCTTGGCCGGGGTCACACACCGATTGGTTCCGCCAGGGTTAGGATTTGGGACCCACCCTGCCGGGTGGTGGGCTTTGGAATAAGAGCATATACAGGGGCTGGAGTGAGTCCAGCTGCCCCTTCCCTCCTCCACCCACCACTGCCCAGACGGGAACACCTGTCCCGGAAACTGTGGCCATTGTTCACGTCATCCTTCCTCCTTTTGGGCCCTTCCTGTTTGTATCCCTCCCACTGTAGCCCCCAACCCTCCCCCCCATGCCAGATGTTTCCCTTGGGGAGCTTTGCCCTTTGCAGGAAGAGGGCCTGCAGGGGTTACCCCTCTCCCATGGGAAGGAGGGTCTCACTGGCCTTGGGTCTCTGTGCCTTCTCCCCACCCCACAGATTTGGTGGGGAACATGGCAGGAGGGTAAGCAAGGTCAGGTTCAGCCAGGCTGAGTTTTCTTTTTTTTTTTTTTTTGAGATGGAGTCTCCCTCTGTCGCCCATGCTGGAGTGCAGTGGTGCGATCTCGGCTCACTGCAAGCTCTGCCTCCCAGGTTCATGCCATTCTCCAGCCTCAGCCTCCCGAGTAGCTGGGACTACAGGCGCCCACCACCATGCCCGGCTAGTTTTTGTATTTTTAGTAGAGATGGGGTTTCACAGTGTTAGCCAGGATGGTCTGCGTTTCCTGACCTTGTGATCTGCCTGCCTTAGCCTCCCAAAGTGCTGGGATTACAGGCGTGAGCCACCGCGCCCGGCCAAGTTTGTCTTCCTTAGCCCTGTGCGGGCCCAGTGCTGGGAGGACGGCTCCTGTCCTGCTGCTTCCAGGCCTATCCCCTCCCGGTACTTCTGAATCCCACACAGGCCCCGAGGTGGAGCTGGCCCTTCGGTGCTCGGCTGGGGCACCATTGCTCTTCCTTAGACTCAGTCCAGCAAGTGACAGATGGGCAGGTGGCTTTGGGGCTTGTACTTCTTTCTCTTGCCAGTCTAGGGATCCTGTCCCGGGGTTCTCTCTTGGACCCACATCTGCCTTACCTGGGCCTGGGCAAGGTTGTGGGGAGCTACAGGGAGCAAGTACCTTGTTTTCAGGCCCCAGGGAAGTTGGGCAGCCAGTGCTCACCTGCCCCTAATGGAGCCTCCCAATTCCCAGAAGCAGCTGCCTGTACCCTGTTGAAACTTCATGGCCACAGCCCCAGGCCCTGCTGGCATTGCCATGGGCAGCGTGGGCAGCCTGTTGGAACGGCAGGACTTCTCCCCTGAAGAGCTGCGGGCGGCACTTGCCGGGTCTCGGGGCTCCCGCCAGCCTGATGGGCTCCTCCGGAAGGGCTTGGGCCAGCGTGAGTTCCTCAGCTACCTGCACCTCCCCAAGAAGGACAGCAAGAGCACCAAGAACACCAAGCGGGCCCCTCGGAACGAGCCTGCCGACTATGCCACCCTCTACTACCGGGAACATTCTCGCGCGGGTGACTTCAGCAAGACCTCGCTGCCAGAACGGGGTCGCTTTGACAAGGTGCACCTTTGCCCATGCCCCTTACAAGGTGTGGGGAGGGTGGGGTCTCCTTGGAGACCCTGATGTTGGGATGGGGTGGGGACGGGGCATGCTGAGATACGAAAATCGTGCTATGGGCTGGCCTGAGGTTTGTTCACTGCCTCCTGGTGGCACGTGCCCCGCGGTCTCAAAGAGGATCCCTCAGGGGCTGTGAGAGCATCAGGAGGTAGAGCAGGCAGCTGCCCAGGTCTCACACCTGCCCTCTCTGCCCTCTCTTCCTGGCAGTGCCGCATTCGCCCCTCAGTGTTCAAGCCTACGGCGGGCAACGGGAAAGGCTTCCTATCCATGCAAAGTCTGGCGTCCCACAAAGGCCAGAAGCTGTGGCGCAGCAATGGCAGCCTGCACACGCTGGCCTGCCACCCGCCCCTGAGCCCCGGGCCCCGGGCCAGCCAGGCCCGGGCACAGCTGCTGCACGCCCTCAGCCTAGATGAGGGCGGCCCTGAGCCCGAGCCCAGCCTGTCCGACTCCTCCAGTGGGGGTAGTTTTGGTCGCAGTCCTGGTACTGGCCCTAGCCCCTTCAGCTCCTCCCTTGGCCACCTTAACCACCTCGGGGGCTCCCTGGACCGGGCCTCTCAAGGACCCAAGGAGGCTGGGCCACCAGCTGTGCTGAGCTGCCTGCCCGAGCCACCACCCCCCTACGAGTTCTCCTGCTCCTCTGCCGAGGAAATGGGAGCCGTGCTGCCCGAGACCTGTGAGGAGCTCAAGAGGGGCCTTGGCGATGAGGACGGCTCCAACCCCTTCACGCAGGTGAGGGAGCCCCTGCCCTGGAGTCCTGTTCTGTGCCTCAGCACTGGGGTACAGGCCAGAGAGAGGGGCCCCAGCCAGTTCACCCACGTGGCCGTGGACACAAGAGAGCAAGAAAGGGGGAGCTGGCTTGGCTTCCTTCCTCTGCATCCCAGGTGGTGGGGATGTCATGTCACTGGGGGTCCTTGCCTGGGAGTTGTGTGGGAAGGAGAGAGGCTCCCTGGGAGGGCCATGTGATGGGGACACCTCACCCTGGAGGGCATCCCGGGTTAAAGCGCATGTGTGGCTGGGTCCTGTGGTGTAGGGGCACAGGATATGATCAGTGGCTGGAGTATCAGGTGGAGCTCTGAGTCGCCTCTAGGGGGCAGGGCCACGGTGGATGCATCTCTTCCCCTTGACAGGTGCTGGAGGAGCGCCAGCGGCTGTGGCTGGCTGAGCTGAAGCGCCTGTATGTGGAGCGGCTGCACGAGGTGACCCAGAAGGCTGAGCGCAGCGAGCGCAACCTCCAGCTGCAGCTGTTTATGGCTCAGCAGGAGCAGCGGCGCCTGCGCAAGGAGCTGCGGGCTCAGCAGGGCCTGGCTCCGGAGCCTCGGGCCCCCGGCACCCTCCCAGAGGCTGACCCCAGTGCACGACCAGAGGAGGAAGCCCGATGGGAGGTGAGAGATGACACAGGGCTCCGAGACTCTCCCATCTCCATTGCCGGTCCCTTCTTCTGCCTGCCCCCTCCCAAACCGGCTCCCCACACCCTACTTTGCTTGCGTCCTCCCCATCCCCCAGGTGTGCCAGAAGACAGCAGAGATTAGCCTCTTGAAGCAGCAGCTGCGTGAAGCCCAGGCGGAACTGGCCCAGAAGCTGGCGGAGATCTTCAGTCTGAAGACACAACTTCGGGGCAGCCGGGCACAAGCCCAGGCTCAGGACGCAGAGCTGGTCCGGCTGCGCGAGGCTGTGCGCAGCCTGCAGGAGCAGGCCCCTCGGGAGGAAGCCCCAGGCAGCTGTGAGACTGATGACTGCAAGAGCAGGGGCCTGCTAGGGGAGGCAGGAGGCAGCGAGGCCAGAGACAGTGCTGAGCAGCTGCGGGCTGAGCTGCTGCAGGAGCGACTTCGGGGCCAGGAGCAGGCGCTGCGCTTTGAGCAGGAGCGGCGGACTTGGCAGGAGGAGAAGGAGCGCGTGCTGCGCTACCAGCGGGAGATCCAGGGAGGGTACATGGACATGTACCGCCGCAACCAGGCACTGGAGCAGGAACTGCGGGCACTGCGGGAGCCCCCCACACCCTGGAGTCCCCGGCTCGAGTCCTCCAAGATCTGAGGCCAGCAGAGCGAGCTGACAGCAGCAACACTGTCAGAAGGTGCCCTGAGACGGCCGGCTCAGCCTTCCCTTGCACTGGTTGGGGTGGAACCTGCAGAGGCCAGCCCGGGGCTGGGGAGGCGCAAGGAGAGGAGGGATCCAGTGGGGCCGTGGGCTGGGTAGGGTGCCTTGGCAGGAGCCAGGACAAGGCCCTCCTGGCAGAGGAGCACCTAGGCAGGGCCCAGCCCTGCTTCCTGGAGTGGATGTGGCCCAGAGAAGGAGGCTGGGGGATCACCAGCCCCAAGGTCCCGAAGGGCAGGTCAGAGGGAGAGAGGCTGGAGACCTGGGCTGGGGCCTTCCTCCAGGGAAGGAGGCTGGGGTGGGAACACTGGCCTCCCCCAGAATAAAACCATGTTTTCTACCAGAGGCTCAGAATACGCTGAGCCTGTGACCAGAGGATGATGGATGGTCGGGATTGAGGCTGTTGACCTGGGCAGTAGCTCCTCCCATGGCCAGTGGTCAGTGGGAGGGTGTGCCCTGCGCCTGTCTGCATGGCCACTGGGCATGTGTGTTGGGAGCAGAGGAGTCCTACTCCTTGCCTCAGCCCCACACGGTTCCTTAGCTGCCGTGTGGGCTGAAATTCCTTTCTTTAGCACCAGTGGAGTTTTCAGAAGGAACAACACCAGGGAATGCCAAAAAAACAAAGGGCAAGTCAACCAAGGCATTTTGAGAACATGAAATGTCTTCTTGGTGGGAAGGCTGGGCCCCAGGAGTATCCACAGGCTCAGGCCATGCCCCTCCCCGCACCCACCTCCTGTCTCCCTCCCTCCCTCCATAGGAGTGGGGGGCCCCTAGAAGTGCTCTGCCTCATTCCCTGTTCGTAGGAAGGTGCAGGAGAGGAGGTGGGCAAGCTTATGGGTTTCTTGGTAAAGAGCCTTTACCACAGCAAGGAATGGGAACATTTCCCCATCAGCAACGGGGCTCTAGGGCATTATTAAGTAGGGGTGAAATATGATTGATTTGCATTCTGGAAAGCTCTCCCAGGAGGAAGCATTCCCCACCCCACCTTGCCTCTGTCCTGCGCTGGGCTCCAGGACGGTCAGTCCTCCCGGATCCCTGCTCTCAGCTAAGGCTGGTCCCTAAAACCCACACCTGCCTTTGGTCTCTCAGAGGCCTGGCTTGCCCTCTGGGCCTTTGCTCCCCCGCTGGGTGCCCGGCCTGGAACACAGGTTCTGTCTGGCTGTGTGAGTGGCGTCTCTCCCTTCCTTTGAGGGAAGCTCAGCTTTCTTACGCGCTCATCGTTGGACGGGCTGCCATGCATTGCGTGCTTACTGGGCGCCAGGTGCTGTGCTGGGCCCTTGTGAGTGTGGGGGCACAGGCTGAATTAGATGAGCTCCTGCCGCAGGGGGCCCTGCACACTGATGTCAGCTCACCAGTCTCTTCCCTGACAGGGCAGCTCAGGGAACTTCTGAGAAGTTATCTGCAGAGAGCCCCACCTCACTCCCTTTGGCTACCCTGGCCGTGCCTGGCAGCCCCTCAGGCCCCACAGGTGGGTCCTGGTTGTGAAGTGGAGTTAGTGCACATGGATGTCAGGGGACGGGTGTGAGGCATGAGCTGGGGGGGCCCCCTTTTTCAGGGCAGAGAATGAGGCGTGTGCACTGTCTGCTGTGGGGATGGTGTGTTTATGGCCATGTAAGTGGCAGGTGTGTGTAAAGATGTGCTTGTGGGTGGTGGGTGTGTCTGAGGGGGTGTGTTTGGGAGCCTGGCCTCCAAAAGCCAGTGTCTGGGTTGGAGACAGTGCAGGCCCCTTCTTGGCCCCACCCTCTACCCCATTCCTTCCTGTCAGCCCCAGTCTGTCTTGGCACTGGCCAGGCTTGGGTGGAGCCTGTGTCCCAGACAGATCCCCTAGGCCTATCTGAGACCCATACAGGCCCACACCTGAGCTCCTGTCTGCCTGAGGAGGGAAAGGGGGAGTGGCCAGGTCAGGCAGGCCAGTCGTCTACACACCCCCTTGGTACCCATTCCCATTTCACAAACTCCTCCAAACCCCAAACCCCAAACGGAAATCTCTGGGACAATGGCTCCTCCAGAGGGCCCCTCAGAGCCAGGTGCTGGCCAGATGCCTTGATCACAGCCTCCATGGCCAGGGGCCTGTCAAGCCAGGGGCCCACACACCTGGTGCCAGGGTCCACCTTGGTATACCAGCTCGGCAGAACAGTTCCCCACCCAGCGATTAGGGAGCTGGGCTGGCCAGTACAGCCAGTGGGGAGTGGGTGGGAGGCACCAAAACTTGGCAGCTGTGCCAGAAACCAAAGCCAGGCCCAGATGTAGGGGGAGGGCACGAGAGCTGAACCTGAGCCTGGGGCGTCTCGGAGCTGGATCCCCGTCAGCTCATCCAGGCTGGACAAACCAGTTCCTGGGTCCCCCAGCCGGCTGGGTGGCTCTGGGGCCAACCGACCACAGGTGTCACTGATCACAGGTGTCACCGTAGTGGCTACCACCTCAGGGCAGCCCCTCCCTCCAGCTGGCGGGGCCTCAGCTTCCCAGCTGCCCTGGCTTAGCCTTCCCTGCAGCCCCTCCCCAACAGGCTTGGTCCGGGCAGCCTGCTCTGCGGAAGGTGGCAGCCTCCTGGTGCTGGGCTCCCTGCCTCTGGGGCCTCCAGTCCTTCACTCAGTGTCATCCCTTCCAGCAGCTCCCTGGGCCTCTTGGTCCATCCCTTCAGGCTTCTGACACACTAGTGGCCTCGAGTCACTGATAGTGGTGCCTCCTCCTTACCTTGGCAAGCCCTTGTAGCCCTCTGAGCCCTCATCCTGCAGGCAGAGCCCCTCAGTGCTCTGAGAAACCTGCCCTGAACTCACCGCCTCCCCTGCCTGGGCACTCCCTCCTCCCTGCGCCCACAGCCCCCATGCCAATCTCCGTCAGCTCTTTCTGTGCTGCTGTAATTGTTGGTTTGCCTGTCTCCTTTGAGCTGTGGGCATTGCCGGGGTAGGGTGGTGTCTTCACCACAGCTCCAGAAGGCACTGGTGGGATGTGGAGTCAGGAGCAACCAGAGACCCCCCAATACTAGAATGGGTTTGAGCTTGGGGTGGGGTGGATGGGGAAGACTTACTCTGAATGTTCGTTCACCATCCGTGGGCACCAGGTCTGTGCCAAGCACAGGGACTCCAGGGGCAGCTGCCATTCGTTCCAGTGATGTATTTGGGGCCTTCTCAGGTGAGGAAGCCAAGGTGGCCAAGGCCCTCGGTCCCCTGCCCTGATAGGGCTTACCTGTGGGTGGGGGAGGGAGACCACACATGTCAGAGGTAGTGAAGGCCGCTCCAAATAGTGACTGGGGCCAGGCAGGCGGAAAAGAGAACAGAAGAGAATCCAGAAGTGTTCAGACAGAACTAGGGACAACAGAGGGGCCTCCATGGTGGCATGGGTCAGCAGAGCATGGAGCAGGCAGAGGAAGCCTATCTGTGGGGCTGGGTACATTTCTCTGAGACTCACGGAATGTAAGTGTTGAGGTTTCTGCAAAGAGGGCGCAGGCCCTGCAGTGACGGTTCAGATATTGATAACCCATCCCCCTTGGCAGGTGGGGGCTTAGGCATCCATATTGGATTCAGAAAAGAAAAAGAATGATGCTTCTTGCAACAAAAACAAAAGTGATTATGTCACGAGAGGAGAGGCTGGAGGGCCATGGGAGTTCCCAGCTGGCTCACTCATCCGTCCAGGAGGTGGGTCTCATGGTTTCATTTTGCTTTGGGCTTACTTAGAGTTTTGGCAAATGCAGAGTTATGTAACGAACCCAACAATGAAGATACAGTTCTGTCACCCCCCCAGCATTCTCCTGTGGCCCTCTAGTCCACCCCCCGCCCCACCCCAGCCCCTGGCAACCACTGATCTGCTTTCACAATAACCGTATGGGGTTTTTTCTCTTTCCTTTTTTGTGAGCGGTATTTAATTCCTTTGCTCTAATATGTAATATTAGAACATATTACAAAGTAGCAAGAAAAATACGACATTGGTGTAAAAATAATCTACACCTCATGGAAAGAATGAAGAGCCAGAAATAGATTCTATTCTGTAGAAAATCTTACACAATAAAGGACTTCAAAATAAGGGTAAGGAAGGATGCTTTAACAAGCGGTGCTGGGATAACTGGATAAAAATTTGGGAAAAAAGTCATACTATGTGCCACCCCTGCATTTATTTTATTATTTTATTTTATTTATTTTTTTGAGATGGAGTCTCACTGTGTTGCCCAGGAGTGCAGTGGCGTGACCTCAGCTCACTGCAACCTCCGCCTCCCGAGTTCAAGCAGTTCTTCTGCCTCAGCCTCCTGAGTAGCTGAGACTACAGGCGCCTGCCACGACGCCTGGCTAATTTTTTGTATTTTTAGTACAGACAGGATTTCACCATGTTAGCCAGGATGGTCTCGATCTCCTAACCTCGTGATCCACCCGCCTCAGCCTCCCAAAGTGCTCGGATTATGGGCGTGGGCCACGGCGCTTGGCCCACCCCTGCATTTATTGAGTTAAATTTTAAAAATCCTATCCTAGGAAATTGGTGGTGGGGCTCAGAAAATGATACCCCAAAGTATGAAGCTGTGGGAGGCTGAATGCTTTGAACTAAAGTATCTGACCATCGCTCACTCCTTTTCCCTCCCAAAACCCTCCTGAAGCGCAGGGAGGGGCCTTCTCTGATGTTCTCTTTTGTTTCTAAGGGAAGTTCCTGCAGAAGGAATGCCATTGTCTTGAGCCCTTTCCCTAGCATCTCATAAAACATGGACAATTAACTCACAGGAAAGGATACTGAAGGTGATACCATCTCTTCTGAGGACTGGGCTGCTTGAGAGGTTTTATCTGCATGACAAGACAGCCTTTGTTTGCCATGCATTTCCTCCCCTCAACCTCCTAGCGTCTGCTGCCACCTCCTCCCAGAAACCTCAGGCCCCAGTTTTTGGAGCTCAAATGCTATTTAGACTTCATCAGTCTGGCCCTTACTAGAGTCTCACATTTTGTGGGACTCCTGTGCATGTATGTAATAAATTTGCATGCCTTTTCTCCTATTAATCTGTCTACTGTCAATTTTATTCCAGAGACTCAAATTATTGAAGCTTCGGAGAATACAGGGAATGTTTAAAACTTCTACGCTGGCAAAAAGTTAATTCAATTATTACTGAATTAATGGGAGAATTGATTGCTTTGAAGGAATCCTCCCCATCCCTAACAAAAATCAAAAACAATCCCTATGGGGAAAGATGGACAAAGTCAACTATTTAATACAACTTGGTGCACACTTGAAAATAATACCAAGATGCAAGGATGGCCACATACTGGGGGAGAACCTCAACTTTGCTCACATCCTTCTTGGCTGTGAGGCAGGCCAAGGCTCCCGGAGAGGAAGTGGGGAAGCCTGGGGCATTTGCCAAAGCCTGTGAGGTCAGGTTGGCTGGAAGGTGGCTTGGGCCCCTTGGCACCAAGGCAAGGTTCAATCAACTCTCCACCCCTATGGCTTCCGTTTGGGCCAGGGCCACCCAGGCTCCTCATGCTTGGGCAGGCATCTCTGGGATCCGCCCTCCTGACGCCCCTGCAGGCACACAGTCCTGCTGTGGGCCTTCTCCCCTGCTATATATCATAAGGTTTTTGAGCCGCAGTTTCCTTATGTATACGTGGAGGACACTGGCTTCTTGAGTATCTCTGAGTACCTCCTGTGTGCAAAGCATATGGTGTTGGCGATAAGGCAGTGATGAAGACAAAACATGGGCCTGGTGGAATTTTTTTTTTTGTTGTTCGTTTTTGTTTTGTTTTGAGACAGGGTCTCACTCTGTTGCCCAGGCTGGAGTGTAGTGGTGCAATCTTGGCTCACCGCAACCTCCGCCTCCCGGGCTCAAGCGATTCTCCTGCCTCGGCCTCCGAAGTAGCTGGGATTACAGGTGTCTGCCACTATGCCTGGCTAATTTTTTTTTTTTTTTGTATTTTCAGTAGAGACAGGGTTTCACCATGTTGGCCAGGCTGGTCTTGAATTCCTGACCTCAAATGATCCACCCGCCTTGGCCTCCCAAAGTACTGGGATTACAGGTATGAGCCACCACGCCTGGCCCATGTTTGTTTGTTTTTGAGACAGGGTCTCTCACACTCTGTTATCTAGGCTGGAGTAGTGGCGCGATCACTGCTCACTGCAGCCTCGACCTCCTAGGCAGCCTCCCATCTCAGCCTCCCAAGTAGCTGAGACTACAGATGTGCACCACCACACCCGGCTAATTTTTGTATTATTTGTACAGACAGGGTCTCCCTATGTTGTCCAGACTGGTCTAGAACTCCTAGGCACAAGCATTCCTCCCTCCTCAGCCTCCTAAAGTGCTGGGATTACAGGCGTGAGCCACCATGTCTGGCCCCAAAGAGGGTGATGGGAGTGGGGGCCAGAAGACAGAATGAACAAATAAACACGCAAGATAACTTCCAAGTGCTATAAAGAAAACAGGTCGGCTGGGTGCGGTGGCTCACGCCTGTAGTCCCAGCACTTCGGGAGGCCGAAGCAGGCGGATCGCGAGGTTAGGAGTTCAAGACCAGCCTGGCCAGCATGGTGAAACCCCGTCTCTACTAACAATACAAAAAATTAGCCAGGCATGGTGGTGTGCACCTGTAGTCCCAGCTACTCAGGAGGCTGAAGCAGGAGAATTGCTTGAACCTGGCAGGCGGAGGTTGCAGTGAGCCAAGATTATGCCATTGTACTCCAGCCTGGGCGACAGAGCAAGACTCCGTCTCAAAAAAAAAAAAAAAAAAGAAAACAGGGCAAGGAATGGTGGCTCATTCCTGTAATCCCAATACTTCCAAAGGCTGAGAGGGGAGGATCTCTTGAGGCCAAGAGTTCGCAACCAGCTTGGGCAACATAGGGAGACCACCTCTCTATTTTGAAAAAAAAAAAAAAAGTAAGTTGTGCAAAGGGGAGGGAGGGGAAGGCATGGAGGATTCAAGGGGAGGATGGCCTGGAATGAGGCCCAACCAAAAAGGGAGCAGAAGTGGGCAACACAGAGACCTGGCTTTTTCTCCAGGGCTGTTCCTAGTCCCAGCTGAGGCCTGAGGAGGAGTGGGGACTTCTCTACTCTTTCCCTCCAGAGCAGAGGGTCCGGGATAGAAAATTCAATCTGGGGCTGGGTGTGGTGGTTCATGCCTGTAATCCCAGCAATTTGGGAGGCTGTGGTGGGTGGATCACCTGAGGTCAGGAGTTTGAGACCAGCCTGGCCAACATGGCAAAATCCCCTCTCTACTAAAAATACAAAAATTAGCCGGGCATGGTGGAGCATGTCTGTAATCTGTTACTCATGGAGCTGAGGCAGGACAATCGCTCGAAGCTTGGAGGTGGAGGTTGCAGTGAACCGAGATCACACCACTGCACTCCAGCCTGGGCAACAGAGCAAGACTTCATCTCAAAAAAAGAAAAAGAAAATTCAGTCTGGACCTGGGTTTGGGGTCAGTGCCTGTTCCCTCCTCCTTCCTAACCCTCACCCTTCCTCCTTAGGGCAGATGGGCAGCTCCCATCTTCTCCCCTTCCCCCGTTCCCCAGGACAGCGACCAACACAGGGCGGCAGGGTAGGGCTGGACCCCCTCCTCCGCAGAACTGAATTCTGTTGAATACCCAGTGGGCAGATTAAGTTCGGGCTAAGGGGACCAGAAAGGCTGGGACAGGAAAGGAGTTTTCTTTTCTTTTCTTTTTTTTTTTTTTGAGACGGAGTCTCGCTCTGTCGCCTAGGCTGGAGTGCAATGGCGCGATCTCGGCTCACTGCAACCTCCGCCTCTCGGGTTCAAACGATTCTCCTGCCTCAGTCTCCCGAGTAGCTAGGATCATGGGACTACAGGCGCCTGCCACCATTCCCGGCTAATTTTTGTATTTTTAGTACAGACGGGGTTTCACCATATTGGACAGGCTGGTCTCGAACTCCTGACCTTATGTTCCGCCCGCCTCAGCCTCCCAAAGTGCTGGGATTACAGGCGTGAGCCGCCCGGCCCGGAGTTTTCTATTCTTTTTTTTTGAGACGGAGTCTCGCTCTGTCGCCCAGGCTGGAGTGCAGTGGCGCCGTCTCGGCTCACTCCGAGCTCCGCCTCCCGGGTTCACGACATTCTCCTGCCTCAGCCTCCCGAGTGGCTGGGACTACAGGCGCCCCCCACCTCGCCCGGCCAATTTTTTGTATTTTTAGTAGAGACGGGGTTTCACCGTGTTAGCCAGGATGGTCTCGATCTCCTGACCTCCTGATCCGCCCGCCTCGGCCTCCCAAAGTGCTGGGATTACAGGCGTGAGCCGCCGCGCCCGGCCTGGAGTTTTCTTTTTTTTTTTAAGCATCACTTCATATTTCAAGAGCTCTCAGTTCTCCTGAGATTTCTAGGCTCTGTCCAGGATCCCTAAGCCTGTTCACAGTCCTACTTGAAGTTTCTAATCTTTCTTTTCTCATTAACCAAAACTGGAGAGAGGAAAAAGCCCATCATTTTCCCTGGACAGCAGCGCCTACTGGGAGTTTCACCCGCATTAACATGCAAACGACAGGCAAACTCCTAGTCATCCTTCCAAAGACCCTGCTCCACAGCCCTGCCGAGGCCGGTGCGCACCTAGCCCAGCCACTGCCCCTCACGGCCCCCGCGCCGCCCTCACTGAGCAGGGCGGGCAGCGCTGTAAGCGTAACCACTTGGGGCTTGGGGCTTCTGACCCGGGAGTCGGGTGCTGGGTTGAGTGCGAGGCCGACGCCTCTGCCGGGTGGGGAACCCGCCCGCCGGCGAGGAGCGGTCGCGGCCAGGGGCTTCCGCCGACTGGGAGGCCCGGGGCCGGGCCGGAGGGACTCGGAACCTGGAAACGACCAGGCGCGACCCCCAGAGGACTACAGGCGCGGCTTTTCTGGCCGCCGCCCGGTTCCCGCGGGCGACTCCACTCGGCATGCGCGGCGGGGAGCCTCGGCGGTGAGGCGCAAAGCCGCGGGCTCGTGGGACGGCCACCCCTCCGCAAAACCGCCAATGGGCGGGCCCGGGCCGCCGATCGCCCGCCGCGGCTTCCGGTTCCGATGACAGTGGCGCCGGAAGCCGGGGCCGGGGCTGCGGGGCGAGGTGAGAGCGGGCGGGCTTGGGAGCCGGCAGGTGCGGGCCGAGGGCGGGCACAGCGGCCGGCGGAGCTGAGGCGCGCGGCGGGGAAAGCTCGGCCGGCCTCCCGGGCCCCAGCCTTCTCCAGAACCCCTGCTACCCACGACTAAGCCCCGAACAATCTGCCCTTGGGCTTGTTCTCTTCGCAGTTGTCGGCCCTGGGCCGGGAGCTGGAGTCCCAGACTCATAGGTCCCGGCCCAGCCCCCGAAGAGCCGCCTCAGCCGGGGGGAGTTGCTCGGACTCAAACGTCCAGTCCTCGTGCGACCGCGCTGGGTCGGAAGTGAGCAGGTGCGCACCGGGCTCGGCAGGGCTATGGAGCAGGGTCTTTGGAAGGATGACTAGGAGTTTGCCTGTCGTTTGCATGTTAATGCGGGTGAAACTCCCAGTAGGCGCTGCTGTCCAGGGAAAATGATGGGCTTTTTCCTCCCTCCAGTTTTGGTTAATGAGAAAAGAAAGATTAGAAACTTCAAGTAGGACTGTATAGTAAAAAAAAAAAAAAAATGGAGGAGGGCGATATGACACGGTAACTGGTGTGAGGGTGGGGCGGAGGGGTCAGTATTAGATACTGTGGTCTAGCAGAGCATCTCTGAGGACGGGACATTTGCGTTGAGACCCAAATTAGGAGGCAGGCTTAGGAAGATACGGGAAGAGAGTGGTCCAGGCAGCGGGAACAGCCAGTGTGAAGGCCCTAGGGCAGAAATCAACTGAGAGTATAGTCAAGGAACAGAAAGCAAGCTAGTGTGGCTAAAGTATGGTAAGAAAGGGAAAGAGTGGTAGGAGATGAGGTCGGATAATTGGGGTTTGGTCACATAGAGTCTGTAGGTCAGAGAGAGGAATGTGGAGTTTTTTCTAAGTACAGTGGAAATCTTTTGGTTTTAAGCAGAGGAGTGACATGTAGGGTAGAGAGTGGATGGAGGTCGCGGCTGCAAAAGCATAAGAATTGGCTGGGCACGGTGGTTCACGCCCGTAATTCCAGCACTTTGGGAGGCTGAGACTGGCAGACGGCTTGAGCTCAGCACTTCAAGACCAACCTGGCCAACATGGTGAAACCCTGTCGCTCCAAAAAATTAGGCTGGGCGCAGTGGCTCACGCTTGTAACCCCAGCACTTTGGGAGGCCAAGGCGGGAGGATCACTTGAGGCCAGGAGTTCAAGACCAGCCTGGCCAACATGGTGAAACCCCGTCTCTACTAAAAATACAAAATTTAGCCGGGTGTGGTGGCAGGTGTCTGTAATTCCAGCTACTTGGGAGGCTGAGGCAGGAGAATCGCTTGAAACTGGGAAGCAAAGGTTGCAATGAGCCAAGATCGTGCCACTGTACTCCAGCCTGGGCGACAGAGTAAGACTCTGTCTCAAAAACAAACAACAAAAAAATTAGCCAGGTGTGGTGGGGAGAGAGGGGAAGAATAGGGACAAAAGGGAATACATAAATAAACACAAAGGAGAAAAGGCCCTGCATGGACCACTTACATGTGTCATGAACTCAGGAGTGTTCATGGTGGGACTACATGGTGCACCTGTAGTCCCAGCTTCTTGGGGTGGGGGGCTGAGGTGGGAGGATCACTTGAGCCCAGGAGGTCGAGGCTGCAGTGAGCCCTGATTGTACCACAGCACTCTGGCCTGGGAAACAGATTGAGACCCTGTCTCTCTCTTTTTTTTTTTTTTTTTAAGCAACCCTATTAACTGAAGAGACCCTGCCTCACAAAAAAAAAAAAAAAAAAAAAAAAGCGTTAAGAATTGGGTCAATGGAGGTTGTCTAATCTTTTTTTTTTGTTTTTGTTTGTTTGTTTGTTTTTTTGAGACAGTCTCACTCTGTCGCCCAGGCTGGAGTGCAGTGGCGCCATCTCAGCTCACTGCAACCTCTGCCTCCTGGGTTCAAGCAATTCTCCTGCCTCAGCCTCCCGAGTAGCTGGGATTACAGGCACGCACCACCACGCCCAGCTAATTTTTGTATTTTTAGTAGAGACAGGGTTTCGCCATGTTGGTCAGGCTGGTCTCAAACTCCTGACCTTGTGATCCGCCTGCCTCGGCCTCCCAAAGTGCTGGGATTACAGGCATGAGCCACCACGCCCAGCCGATGTTGTCTAATCTTTGTCAGGCAAAAGGGACCTTTATGATTTGCTCAAACTTCCTTTCTCCTTACACAGGAGCCCCTTGTTTCAGGATGCTAAATACTCCAGGATAAACCTCCATACATGCCTTTGTGGAGATTTTAATATTTCACTCATGTCTCTTTTCTACCCACTCCTACACATTTGAGCTCAGGTTCTCCAGCGCAGTTAGGAAATGGATGTGTCATTTAATCAGCAAATGTGTGTGTGTGTTTTTTTAAATTTGAGACGGAGTTTTTGCTCTTGTTGCCCAGGATGGAGTGCAATGGCGTGGTCTTGGCTCACTGCAACCTCCACCTCCTAGGTTCAAGCGATTGTCCTGCCTCAGCCTCCTGAGTAGCTGGGATTACAGGTGCCCGCCACCACGCCTCGGTAATTTTTGTATTTTTAGTAGAGACGAAGTTTCACCATGTTGGTCAGGCGGGTCTCAAACTCTTGACCTCAGGTGAGCCACCCACCTCAGCCTCCCAAAGTGCTGGGATTACAGGTGTGAGCCACTGCGCCGGCCAATCAACAATTTTTTTTTTTTTTGGAGACGGAGTCTCACGCTGTCTCCCAGGCTGGAGTGCAGTGGCACAATCTTGGCTCACTGCAAGCTCCACCTCCCGGGTTCACACCATTCTCCTGCCCCAGCCTCCCGAGTAGCTGGGACTACGGGTGCCCGCCACCACACCCGGCTAATTTTTTGTATTTTTTTAGTAGAGATGGGGTTTCACCGTGTTAGCCAGGATGGTCTTGATCTCCTGACCTCATGATCCACTCGCCTCGGCCTCCCAAAGTGTTGGGATTACAGGCGTGAGCCACCGCGCCCTGCCCCAATCAACAAATGTTTACTGAGCATCTACCATGGACCAGGCCCTAGTCTGGGCACTGAGGGGGAGAAAGGACAAGACTACATTCCAGCCATCGAGCAGCTCACAGACCAATGGAGGAGGCTGACGTGGACAGGCTGTTACTGTGCTGCAGTAGCTGAGGACTCGATGGGTGTGGTGTGGCCACTCTTGCCAGGTTATGAAGCAGAAAAGGAGGCAGGGAGATTTCACTGAGGGCTCAAGGGGAGGTGATAATTTAACTACAGCTTACGTACTCTATACAAAGAAGTGCAGAGGGCACTCTAAAAATGGGAACAACTTGTGCAAAGGAAGCAAATACATTATTGCAAAGGGTTTATATGTCAACCATGGTAGTGTTGGGCAAAAGGTAACAGGATCTGCTATGTGTTTCGGAGGGTCATCCTGGTGGATAATTTCTGTATATGTGAGACCTTGGGGAGGAAGGCTTAGGACCAGTGGACATGAAATTTCAATCTATTAATCATGAAGTTTGTCAAAGACAAACACAATTCCTTGCGCCTGGTGAAGATGACTGACTGATTCAGGCAGAGTGGCTTGCTCTAGACAGACTGAATTAACCTCCTGCATTTTTTGGATAGAATACCCACGAACAGTTCTGTTTTCTCAGTTCATTTATTTTACTTTTAAAAATTTGGCCAGGTGATTTGGCTCACACCTGTAATCCCAGTGCTTTGGGAGGCCAAGGCAGGTGGATCACTTGAGGCTAGGAGTTCGAGACCAGCCTGGCCAAAATGGCGAAACCCCGTCTTTACTAAAAATACAAAAATGAAAAAAAAAAAAAGCCAGGTGTGGTGGTGCACCTGTAATCCCAGCTACTTGGGAGACCAAGGCATAAGAATTGCTTGGACCCGGGAGGTGGAGGTTGCCAGTGAGCCAAGATAGCACCACTGTATTCCAGCCTGGGCAACAGAGCGAGACCGTCTACAAAAAAAAAAAAAAAATTACTGAGTTAATCACACTCCTCAGTTCATGATACATTTAACTGGTCCATGCAGGGCCTTTTTCTCCTTTGTATTTATATTCCCTTTTGTCCCTATTCTTCCCCTCTCTTCTCACCACAGGAAACCATTCTGATGTGTTTGGTGTATATCTTCTTTTTGTTTTTTGTTTTTTTGAGACAGGGTCTCACTCTTGCTCAGGCTGGAATGCAGTGGCATAATCATGGCTGACTGCAGCCTTGACCTCCCGGGCTCAAGCAGTCCTCCGTCCCACCTCAGCCTTCTGAGGAGCTGGGACCACAGGCGTGTGCCACCATGCCCAGGTAAATTTGCCGTGTTGCCCAAGCTAGTCTCAAACTCCTGAGCTCAGCAGTCTGCCTGCCTTGACCTCCCAAAATGCTGAGATTACAGGTGTGAGCCACTGCTCCCAGCCTATATGCATATACTTTTAATTTACATAAATGGATTCTGCCTAGACCTCATTTTTTTCCACCTCAGTGCCATGTGTGGAGCTTGTCGATGTTGCTCTGGGTATATTTGGGATGCAGTTTCTAAATGCTCCACAGGTTTCCATAGATGCATCCCCCACATTTTACTTACTTGATTCCTCTAGTGATGAGGTCCCTAGATTGTTTCCCACTCCTTGCTACAATGCAATCCCGTACCCATCTCCTTCCTCAGCTTTGTAAATAGAATTTTATCGCTTCTCAGCCTTTTCGCTGAGATCAAGTGTAGTAAATACAATTTCAAGATGCTGATTTGAGCTTGGCTTTGATAAGCCTGGTAGCTCTTGGTGTCTGACAGGGCCGGATTGTTTGACCTTCGTGAGGTCCTGGCTTTTTTGAGCCATGTTTATTTTTGATAAATTGTGATTCTAGTTCCCAGACACTCTTGGCCAACATTCTAGTGTCCTGCCATCTTCCCCAGTTGATCATTCTCACGAGCTCTGTGGTTAATTTTCTGTTTCTCATCATCATTAATGGTTGCTGTACACTCATTCCAACACAGATATTTGCTCTTTCCTTTCCTGGTGAAACAGTGGCCTGTGAAGCTGGTCCTGGGAGTACCTGTGATGTGAAGTACGTAGAGAAGGACTCTGAGGCCAGAGCCAGACTGTCTGGCTTCAGTTCAGTTCCCAGCTCCTCCACTTCCCAGACGCCTGACCTTGGGCAACTGATTTAATCTTTGTGTCTCATTTTCTCATCTGCAAAGTGGGTCTAATCATTGTACCTACCTCATAGTGTTTTCGTGAGCATTAGGTAAATGAATTAATGTATGCAAAGTCATTAGAACGGTGCCTGGCACATAACAGGCTCCTATTTGGAATGTCAGCTGTTAATAATAGCAATAATAATAATTACGTCATTTCAGATAGGAGACCCTGTTATATTTTGCCATAATGGGTCACATTCAGTTGCAGGGTGTTTGTTCAGAGGGGATGGTGGGGGGTGGGTGGCATAGCTTCTGGACTCTCTGACTATAGATTCCAGCGTAATAGCATTAGCTGTAAGGAAAAAGGGAAGAAACACAGCCCCCAAGGCCCTGGGTGCCTTTTCACTGTCACTTGTTGCCTGTCAGGTTGGGAGACAGTGGCTACAGATGGGTCAAGGTGCTGAGGCCGGGACTCATGCTGGTGGGAATGAGGGAATGAGTGAAGAGAGCCTGTGAAACTGGGAGGATCTTGGTGGTCACCTTGGACATAGGATTCTCTTTCTCTTTGATGTTCCTCTGTACCCTTCTTGAGAATGGGCATTGGGCTAGATCAGCTCTGTCACTGACATTCTGAGGTTTGCCCACGTGTTCAGTGTCAAAGGCTGCTCTGAAATGGAAAGGAGCAGTGGCCCAGGGTAGAAAGGACACAGAAGGAAGCCCCAGTGGTAGGGAGAGGAGATAGGACAAGAAAAGTCAACTTTCTTTCAATGGTATAATGAGGAGGGAAGGTTGTGTTGCAGCAAGAGAGGTTCTGGTCTGGTGGGGGAGGCAGGCCCAGTGACCAAAACTGAAATAGAAGGGTGCAAAGTGAGAGTAGAGGGAGCTAGGTGGGCACAGGCTAGAGACAGCTGCTGAAGACGCTGACGTCTGAGCTAACTCAGAAGTGATGGGCCAGCCTCTCAAGTAGTCGAGGAGGTAAGGGTGATGGAGAGCAGGCCAGGTGAGGAAGCAGCATGTACCAGGGCACGCAGCTATGAGACAGCAAGGGTTCTGTGCCTGTCCTCGGGTGTGCGGCGGGTGAGGGTGAGGCAGGAGTGCTGGGCAAGTCCGTCAGGCCAGCATGGTTGGCAGTTATTCCCCAAGCTGTGTTTCCAAATATCAGCCACTCAAGGACGGCCTTTATGGTTTATGTTACTATAGTACGTAGAAAAGCAGTTCCTCTAACTGTAAGAATGTGGCCATAATAACTCTATGAAAATACACGGGCCGGGCATGGTGGCTTATGCCTATAATCCCAGCACTTTGAGAGGCCAAGGTGGAAAGATCGTTTGAGCCCAGGAGTTTGAGACCAGCCAGGGCAACACAGAGAGACCCGTCTCTACGAAAAAAAATTTTAAATTAGACAGGTGTAGAAGCACACTCCTGTGGTCCCAGCTAGTCAGGAGGCTAAAGTGGGAGAATCCCTTGGGCCTGGGGGGATCAAGGTTGCCATGAGCTGAGTTTGTGCCACTGCACTCTAGCCAGGGCAACAGAACAAGAGCCTGTCTCAAAAAAAGAAAATACATACGTGTAATATGACATTATGCAGTATATGGATTTCTAGTTAGATAGTATTGCCAGCTAAGGGCTCTGTGAGGCCTGCTCTCTATTCTGATTTAAAAGGGAGATGAACAAAAATTAAGGCATGAAAAGAGTTGAAAATGGAATAATAATTTTCTCACCATGATTAAGAAAAACCTCGTCCTCACACCAGCCTGCATCCTCCACTGGGCACCCCAGTGGAGTGAGGAGATGGGATGTTATATGCTTACCAAAACATAGGTACATATATACATATATGTACAAAACATATAACATTGATACATGATGTGGGAATGGTGAGAGGGATCTGAAGAGGTGGTCTGGGCACCCTGCCTGCCATGCCACCGTGGCCCAGATGGGGCCTGACCCAGCTGACCCTCCCCAGGCTGAGGCCACCATGGAGCAGTGTGCGTGCGTGGAGAGAGAGCTGGACAAGGTCCTGCAGAAGTTCCTGACCTACGGGCAGCACTGTGAGCGGAGCCTGGAGGAGCTGCTGCACTACGTGGGCCAGCTGCGGGCTGAGCTGGCCAGCGCAGGTGGGTGGCCACCCTTGCAAGTGCCCTGCGACAGCCTCCCTGAGGACATGGGAGACCCGAAGCTACTGAGTGACAGGGTTCCGGAAGGACGATGATGAGGATGTTGGTACCTGCATCTGTAGGCCTCCTTGAAACCGGGTAATGACAGTCTCTGAGCTACTTCAAAAAGCCCAACAAATTATTAATTTACCTGAGATGATTCCCATTTACATTTTGTTTTCAACTTACTTTTCTATTTTTAACTTTTTTTCATTTTATAATTGTGTGTGTGTGTGTGTGTGTGTGTGTGTAGAAACAGTGTCTTTGTTGCCTAGGCTGGTCTTTAACTCCTAGGGGCTCAAGTGATCCTCCTGCCTCAGCCTCCCAAAGTGCTGGAATTATATGCGTGAGCCACCATGCCTGGCCTATTTTTAGCTTTTAAGATTTTAAAGATAATTTCAAATTTACAGACCAATTCCAAGAATAGTATAAAGAACTGATATATACCCTTTACTTGGATTCACCAACTGCTCATATGTTGCCATATTTGCCGTGATCATTACTTTTTAACCATTTGAAAATAAGTTGTAGATAACATAGCCCCAAGCCTTCAGTGTGTATGTCCTAAAATCAAGGGCATTCTCTTACATAAAAACAGCGTAGTTATTAAAACCCAGAAATTGCCAGGCACAGTGGCTCACGCCTGTAATCCCAGCACTTCGGGAGCCCGAGGCCGACAGATCACCTGAGATCAGGAGTTTAAAACCAGCCTGGCCAACATGGCAAAACCCTGTCTCTACTAAAAATACAAAAATTAGCTGGGCATGGTGGTGGGCTGCAGTGAGCCGAGGTCACGCCACTGCACTCCAACCTGGGCAACAGAGCAAGACTCGTCTCAAAAAACAAAATAAATAAATCAATCCAAGAAATGAAACATTGATATAATATTACCTAATAACTATAGTTCACATTTCTTTTTTTTTTTTTGAGATGGAGTCTTACTGTTGCTCAGGCTGGAGTGCAGTGGCGTGATCTTGGCTCAACTGCAACCTCCACCTCCCGGGTTCAAGCAATTCTCGTGCCTCAGCTTCCCGAGTAGCTGGAATTAAAGGCGCATGCCACCACCTGCAGCTAATTTTTGTATTTTTTAGTACAGGTGGGGTTTTGACATGTTGGCTAGGCTGGTCTCGAACTCCTGACCTCAAGTGATCTGCCTGCCTCGGTCTCCCAAAGTGCTAGGATTATAGGTGTGAGCCACCATACCCAGCCAGTGTAGTCAACATTTCAATTTTGCCATTGTCCCAGGAATTTTTTTTTTTTTTTGATATAGAGTTTTGCTCTCATTGCCCAGGCTGGAGTGCAATGGCGCAATCTCGGTTCACTGCAACCTCCGCCTCCCAGGTTCAAGAGATTCTCCTGCTTCAGCCTCGCAAGTTGCTGGGTTTACAGGCCCGTACCACCATGCCTGGCTAATTTTTTTTTTTTTTTTTTTGGATTTTTAGTAGAGACAGGGTTTTGCCATGTTGGCCAGGCTGGTCTCGAACTCCCGATCTCAGGTGATCCACCTGCCTCAGCCTCCCAAAGTGCTGGGATTACAGGTGTGAGCCACCATGCCCGGCTGTTCAGGAATTTTCATAAAGCATTTTAATTTCCAGTCCAAGAACCAATCCAAGATCACACACTGCATTTAGTTTCTCCTGTCTAATCTTTACTTTTTTTAATCTGAGACATTTCTTCTGTCTTCCTTTATCTTCCATGACATTGGTATTTTTGAAGCATTAAGGCCAATTATTTTGCAGAACGTCTCTCAATTTGGAGTTGTCTGATGTTTTCTCATTACTTAGGTTTTGCATTTTTGGCAGTACTTCAGAAGTGATTTGTTTCTCAGTGCATCACACTGGAAGACACAAGATGTTGCTTTATTGCATTATTGCTGTTGTTCACTTTTATTTTGGAGACAAGTTCTCACTTTGTTGCCCAGGCTGCAGTGCAGTGGCACGATCTTGGCTCACTGCAGGCTTGACCTCCTGGGCTCAAGTGATCCTACCACCTCAGCCTCAGAAGTAGCTGGGACCACAGCAGTACACTACCAGGCCCTGCTAATTTTTTTTTTTTTTTATTGTAGAGACAGGGTCTCCCTATGCTGTCCAAGACGGTGTCGAACTCCTGGGTTCAAGTGATCCTCCCGTGTCAGCCTCCCAAAGTGCTGGGATTATGATCCGCTGCACCTGGCCTGATCTTCACTTTGATCACTTAGTTAAGATGGTCGCTGCTAAGGTTTTCCACTGTAAACTTCCTAATTTTTCTTTGTAATCACTAAGTAGTTTGTGGGCTGTAATCCTAGCACTTTGGGAGGCTGAGGCGGGCGGATCACTCGAGCCCAGGAGGTTGAGACCAGGCTGGTCAACATGGCAAAACCACATCTCTACTAAAAATACAAAAATTAGCCGGGCATGGTGGCACATGCCTGTAGTCCCAGCTACTTGGGAGGCTGAGGCATGAGAATCGCTTGAACCCAGGAGGTGGAGGTTGCAGCGAGCCAAGATCGCGCCACTGCATTCCAGCATGGGTGACAAAGCGAGACTGTCTCAAAAAAAAAAAAAAAGTAGTTTGTGGGGAGATACTTTGATACCATATAAATGTCCTGCTCTTTACCAAATTTCAGCCTACTAGTTTTAGTATCCATTAATGATTGTTGTGTGAATTATTACTAAGCTGTCTGCAACATGGTGATTTTTCCTGCTTTGTCATTCTTTATACATTTATTAGTTGACATTCAACTGAAAAGAAGCTTTCCCTTCTCCTTTCATTATTATCACTTCACACTCATATTCTTATTTTATTCAATAGGTTATAATCCATTGCAGTTATTTAATGTTCAAATTGTCTTAGGTCTGACCAGAGGGAGTCCCTGGTTCCTATGTCTTTTTTAAAAATTGAGCTATAATTCACTTACCATTAAACTCACTCTTTTAAAGTACTCTGTCCAGGTGCAGTGGCTCATGCCTGTAATCCCAGCACTTTGGGAGGCTGAGGCAGGTGGATCACCTAAGGTCAGGAGTTCGAGACCAGCCTGGCCAACATGGTGAAACCCTGTCTGTACTAAAAAATACAAAAATTAGCTGGGCGTGGTGTCATGTACCTGTAATCCCAGCTACTCAAGAGGCTGAGGCAGGAGAATCGCTTGAACCCAGGAGGCAGAGGTTGCAGTGAGCCAAGATTAAGTCACTGCACTCCAGCCTGGGTGACAGAGCAAGACTCTGTATCAAAATAAATAAATAAAGTACAACTCTGGATGGGCATGGTGGCTTATGTCTGTAATCCCAGCACTTTGGGAACTTGAGGCGGGTAGATTGCTTGAGTCCGGGAGTTTGAGACCAGTCTGGGTAATATGGTAACCCTGTCTACCAAAAATACAGGTATTAGCCAGTCTCATAACTCGGTCTCAAAATAAATAAATACATACATACATAGATGAAAATTTAAAAAATAAAGTCCAACTCAGCGGTTTTCAGCATATTTACAGAGTTGTACAATCTTCACCACTATCTAATTTCAGAACATTTTCATCACCCCCAAAAGAAACCTAACCCATTGACTGTCTCTCCATTTCCTCCCTCTCCCTAGCCTCTGGCAACCACTAATCTCTTTTTTGTCTCTATAGATTTGCCTATTTTGGACAGTTCATATACAAGGAATCATACCACATGTAGCCTTTTGTGTCCGGCTTCTTTGATTAATAGAATGTTTTCAAGGCTCATCTATGCTGTAGCCTGTATCAGCACTTCATTCCTTTCTATGGCTGAATAATAGTCCACTGTAGGGATGTGCCATGTTTTTCCACTAGCTGATGGACATTTGGGTTGTTTCCACCTTCTGGCTATTATAAATATTGCTGCTATAAATATTCACTTACAAGTTTTTGTGTGGACATATGTTTTTATTTCTTCTGGTATATCCTTCGGAGTGGAACTGCTGGATCAGGTGGTAACTCTAGGTCTAACCTGGCAGTTAAACAGAATCCTATGCATGCTGTAGTCCATGAGTTGAAATAAACACTTGACCCATAGTAAGTGCCAGATCATCTTCATTTCACAGCAACCAGTAATTTCACAGATGAGGAAATGAAGGCTCCCAGAGGTGAACTGGCTTTTCCCATTTGAGCAGTTCCAAGTCAGACAGTTAAAAAGTGGCAGGACCTGGAAGAGAAGCTAGTTCTTTCACCCTGGCATTCAGGGCTGCCTCCTGGGCTACGGGGCTGGCATTTAGAATAGAGCTAAGGTCTGCTGCCAAGGCAGGTGCCCCAGTCTGCCTCCTCTGTGTCCTTATTCCACTTTCTCTGCAGCCCTCCAGGGGACCCCTCTCTCAGCCACCCTCTCTCTGGTGATGTCACAGTGCTGCCGGAAGATCAAAGATACGGTGCAGAAACTGGCTTCGGACCATAAGGACATTCACAGCAGTGTATCCCGAGTGGGCAAAGCCATTGACAGGGTGAGCACGTGGCCGGCTCCAGGCGTGGGGTGGGAGCACCCTGAAGCTGGGATGTACAAGGACTCGAAGGAGAGCCAGCAAGAGTGCCCGCATCACCAGGCCCTGTCTCTCCTCCTTCGTCAGAACTTCGACTCTGAGATCTGTGGTGTTGTGTCAGATGCGGTGTGGGACGCGCGGGAACAGCAGCAGCAGATCCTGCAGATGGCCATCGTGGAACACCTGTATCAGCAGGGCATGCTCAGCGTGGCCGAGGAGCTGTGCCAGGTACAGTCGGGCTGGGCGGGCGCAACAACCTGCCTGCTCTGCCTTTCACCTGCTAGTTTTCACTGTATGAAGTCCCTACCATTCTCAAATCCATTTATTTCCTAAAGGAAATCAGCACCTCTGCCAGAAGCAGAAGGTAGCTTTAAAAACATATATGATGAAAAGAGAAGTTACTCATTTTTAGTTAGAGTTGGTTGCCAGCCAGGGCTCTGAGCTGAGGCCTCATATCCCTTTATTGAAAAGGGAGCTGAGTGAAATGACAAAGTAGTACTTGTTAGGTGTTAAAGACACACTGGTGGTAAAAGTAAAAGATTTTCCCTACTGTACTAGGAGGATTGAAGAGGAGTAATTTTCTCGCCATGCAACTCAGTGCGTAGCCTGGGGACTGTCTCCACTGCTACGGTTGTGGGGTGGGGTCTGCAGTCTGCACTCGAGGTCAGCATGTCATACTCAGCCTCCCCAGGACTGAGATGGGAACAAGAGAGGCCCAAGTGGCTGGCAGGAGACCAAGCTCCTCAAGCAAAGCCCAGCTCTCTGGCCTGTCTTTGGCGGGTGAGCTTTTATTATGTGCATAGCAGAGAACTTTGGAAACACCATCTTCCAGTGGTGGGATCTCTTCTCTCTCTCCTTGTAGGAATCAACGCTGAATGTGGACTTGGATTTCAAGCAGCCTTTCCTAGAGTTGAATCGAATCCTGGAAGCCCTGCACGAACAAGACCTGGGTCCTGCGTTGGAGTAAGGAGGCCCTTGGGTGGGCCAGCAGCATTCTGCTTCGACCTCTCAGGGCACAGGGCTTGACTGTGGTCTTCATTTCACCCAGATGTACTTGACTTGCCTGCAGCCCTGTCTCAAGAGCCTCACACAGGCTTTTGGGGCCCTCCTCTCAGGTGCTGGCTCTCAGGTCCTAGCCCCCACCAGCTCTACACTAAACTGGCCCCTTTCTTCCCAGATGGGCCGTCTCCCACAGGCAGCGCCTGCTGGAACTCAACAGCTCCCTGGAGTTCAAGCTGCACCGACTGCACTTCATCCGCCTCTTGGCAGGAGGCCCCGCGAAGCAGCTGGAGGCCCTCAGCTATGCTCGGCACTTCCAGCCCTTTGCTCGGCTGCACCAGCGGGGTGAGTGCCCAGGCAGCTGGGGTTGTGCTGCCTGGCCTGACACATGTCTGGATGTGGTAGGTTACATCAGGCTGCCAGTCCCTGCACCCATGTGGGGCTGTCTGTTACACAGATGCCTCTCCCCAACTAGAAACTTCTCTGACCCCTCGTGTCCAGGATGAACTCTAGACTCCTCCTCTCTCACATCTGCCATACCTTTAGTTTATAGCTTCAGCGCAGACCACCCAGGGTCCTCGTGCCTGCTATGCGCCACACCACACTCATTTAGAGCATGCCATGCCCGTCCCACCTGTTCTGCCTCGTATGCCTCCCTGACCTGTGTGGCCTATGGAAAAGTCCTTTAAGAAAAAAAAAAAGGCCAGGCACGGTGGCTCACGCCTGTAATCCCAATATTTTGGGAGGCCGAGGTGGGCGGATCATGAGGTCCATCTTGGCTAACATGGTAAAACCCCATCTCTACTAAAAATACAAAAAAAATTAGCTGGGCGTTGTGGCGGGCGTTTGTAGTCCCAGCTACTAGGCTGAAGCAGGAGAATGGCATGAACCCGGGAGGCGGAGCTTGATCGCGCCACTGCACTCCAGCCTGGGTGACAGAGTGAGACTCCGTCTCAGAAAAAAAAAAAAAGACTTGTCTGGGTGCGATGGCTCATGCCTGTAATTGCAGCACTTTGGGAGGCCAAAGCAAAGGGCGGATCACTTGAGCTGGAGACCAGCCTTGGCAACATGGGGAACCCCTGCCCCTGCTCCCATCTCTACAAAAAATAAAATAAAAAAGACTCAGTTGAGCACTCTTCCTGTCATGCTAGAATTTCCAAACCTGGAATCTGAGTCTCACCTATGCTTACAAGTAGTAACCTGTACTAACTTGTTTTTTTAGTTCCACCTCATATTTATTATTTTAAATTTTATCTCAAAATAAATATGAAAACCAAGCCATGATTTATTATTTATTTTTGAGACAAAGTCTCACTCTGTTGCCCAGGCTGGAGTGCAGTAAGTGGTGTGATCCCGGCTCACTGCAACCTCCACCTCCCAGGTTCAAGCGATTCTCCTGCCTCAGCCTCCCGAGTAGCTGGGATTACAAATGCCTGACACCGGCCGGGCATGATGGCTCACACCTGTAATCCCAGCACTTTGGGAGGCTGAGGCGGGTGGATCATGAGGTCAAGAGATCGAGACCATCCTGGCCAACATGGTGAAACCCCATCTCTACTAAAAATATGAAAAATTAGCCGGGCGTGGTGGCGGGCACCTGTAGTCCCAGCTACCCGGGAGGCTGAGGTAGGATAATCACTTGAACCCGGGAAGCGGAGGCTGCAGTGAACCGAGATTGTGCCACTGCCCTCCAGCACTCCAGCCTGGCGACAGAGCGAGACTCTGTCTCAAAAAAAAAAAAAAACACACAAAAAACACACACACCAAAAAAAACAAGTGCCTGACACCACAACCACGTCTGGCTAACTTTATATATTTTTTATTAGAGACGGGGTTTCACCATGTTGGCCAGGCTGGCCTCAAACTCCTGGCCTCATGTGATGCACCCACCTTGGCCTCCCAAAGTGCTGGGATTATAGGCATGAGCCACCACGCCCGGCCCCAAAACATGACTGAAGTTTTAGCTAGATACTGCTGCCTGTTGAAAGCTCTTAACCTGGGGTTGCTCTAAATGGAGATTAGTGTGGAGACACCAGTGCCAACCTGAGGACTTATTTGATCCTTGATGCAGTGGGGGAGGAAAGAGAACTGGAAAAGAACTGTCCTCATTCCTGATTCTGTGTTAGTAATGCCTGTTCTCATCCTGCAGAAGCAGCCTGGACCTCCACCTCCCCAGTGGATTTTACAGTCAAATTTGCCTGAGGGCATTTTCATCCCTGCTCAGTCTCCTCAGGGGCTTGGGAGCCACCGGGCTCAGCATATTGTGCTGTGCTGCACAGTCCTGCTGCCCGCTTGGGGGTGGACCCAGAGCCCTGCACCCCCTGAGCTGCCCCCTCTGGTTGCCTTGTAGAGATCCAGGTGATGATGGGCAGCCTGGTGTACCTGCGGCTGGGCTTGGAGAAGTCACCCTACTGCCACCTGCTGGACAGCAGCCACTGGGCAGAGATCTGTGAGACCTTTACCCGGGACGCCTGTTCCCTGCTGGGGCTTTCTGTGGAGTCCCCCCTTAGCGTCAGGTACAACCCAGCCCTGTGAGGGCAGCACAGGTGGGAGGGTAGAG
This sequence comes from Homo sapiens, assembly GCF_000001405.40. Classification (NCBI taxonomy): domain Eukaryota; kingdom Metazoa; phylum Chordata; class Mammalia; order Primates; family Hominidae; genus Homo; species Homo sapiens. The sequence continues at coordinate 178,146,324 of NC_000005.10, forward strand.
AGGTAATCATCATTTGCCAAGGCCCTGCCATGTGCCAGGAACAGTGCTCGGTGCTTTCAGAGACCGAAACTGGCTTTCTTAGTCATTCTTCAGGAGAGGAATTACCTGTTTTTACAGTTAAACTGAGACTAGGAAGAGTTATGGCCCGAGGTCACCATGAGGTCAGTGGCATGGTCAAGGTTCCCATTTTGTAAGGTCTCCTGAATGAGGTCCCTGCCTCTCTTGCACCTCACCCTGGATCATTGCAAGACCTTCCCAGCTAACCCACGCCCCTCTGCAGCCCGCCTTCCTCATGACCTAATGTCTTAAACACCACTTGCCTTCAGGGGAGATGTGAGTGGTTGAGTAATATGTATTCAGCACTGCTGCTGACACCTCCCTCAGAGCTCCCAGCAACCCTGGGAGGGAGAGCCACGTTATCCTCCTTCTACAGATGAGGAAATGGAGGCCCAAGATGTGCACGCACTTGCCCAAGGCCTCGCAGGGAATAATGGGCACTTGAACCTGACCCCAGAGCCACACACTCCGCCACAGTGGACAGCTGTCACTGTGTATTTAGACTGTTGATGGTGTCTGAGTACAGCACCTCAATATAGTGGACTGATTCTACGCTCATCTGATTTGTTACCATGGACTCAGTTTATAGAACGTCATTTCCCAGCAAGAACAACATCAGCACCTTAGGATGATTCTGTTGCGCAGGACTACCCTGTGCACTGTGGGGTATTCAGCACCTGAGGTTCCAGCCAGTAGGCTCCCTTCCCCATGCAACTGTCACGAGAAGGGAACCCCAACCTCCATTTGTTAGGCGGCCTAGTTGATAGCCACCATTATAAAGATGTGTTATGACTACACAGCAGGGTACGTCCTACAGGCAGGCTGGGGCCCTTTGGAACTGCTCACTGTTCCCTAGTCACACCAAGGACTTTTCAGTCATTAGGATGAGCAGATATCTGCCCCTAGAGCTATAGGAAGTCTTCCCTGTAGGTTCTCAAATTTTGGGGTGCATTAGAATGAGTCTGTAGAGTCAGACATACATAAGTACATATGTGACATCTTATGAACAATGTGAGGGATCTTTGAGGACCGATTTGACCGTGCACCATTTTAGAGCCCTGTCTCAAGGTCCATGCTGAAGCATGGCGCGCTGGCCCTTTTTGCCTGTCTGCTGTGATCTGAGCCACTCTAGCCCCTGTTCCTTGTCTGCAGCTTTGCCTCTGGCTGTGTGGCGCTGCCTGTGTTGATGAACATCAAGGCTGTGATTGAGCAGCGGCAGTGCACTGGGGTCTGGAATCACAAGGACGAGTTACCGGTGAGGCCTGGTCTGGGGAATCGTGGGCAAGAGGTACTGGGGAGGACAGCCATGACAGGAAGTGGAACTCACCCGCTTCGCTGCCCTTCCCAGATTGAGATTGAACTAGGCATGAAGTGCTGGTACCACTCCGTGTTCGCTTGCCCCATCCTCCGCCAGCAGACGTCAGATTCCAACCCTCCCATCAAGCTCATCTGTGGCCATGTTATCTCCCGAGATGCACTCAATAAGCTCATTAATGGAGGAAAGTAAGTTCCCCGTGCTCTACTCCACCTTGGCTTGGCTCTCCTACTGGCCACCCCTGAGACGTTCTCGGTTCTCCTCCCTTTGCAGGCTGAAGTGTCCCTACTGTCCCATGGAGCAGAACCCGGCAGATGGGAAACGCATCATATTCTGATTCCTACCTGGAAGGAATTTTGTTGAAAGGGGTTTTCACCTGTGAGCCTTGGTCTGTCTCGGTAGGGTGGTCAACTTCAGTGGACTGTGGTTGGTTTCAGAGCGCCTGGCTGAGGAGTTCCACTGAGGGGAGCACTGGAGCAGCCCTTTGGCAGAGGCTGAGGAGGGAGATGGACCAGCCCACGCCTGGCACCTGGCTCCATGGCATAAGGAAAGGGAGATGCTGGCCTCTGTGCTCCTGCTGTCTTTTCCTGTTTCTGTTTGCGTTTGACTTAGTAGCAACCGACAGAGTGGCAAGGGATTTGGTCTTCAGCAGTAGACATCCTTCCACCCCTGCCCTCAGCCAAGTCTCTTGCTGCCATGCCAATGCTATGTCCACCCTTGCCCCTCGGCCCAAGAGTGTCCAGCGGTGGCCCACCTCTTCCTCCCACTACAGCCTCAACAGTATGTACCATCTCCCACTGTAAATAGTCCCAGTTAGAACGGAATGCCGTTGTTTTATAACTTTGAACAAATGTATTTACTGCCCTTCTCATTTCTCCTGGCCAACCTTTAGCCTCACTGACAAATTATGACCACATGTCTACCACACACAGGGACTGGGCACGGCCTGGTGGCTGCCGCAAACAAAAACATGGCCAGCAGGTATCCAGTGTCCAGGCAGGAAGAACACAACTTGCATCCCTGACTGCGGGGAGCTTAGATGTCAGACCCCGGGCAAGGTGCTTTTACATATACCCATACCAGATCTTACTAACTCCATAGGAGAAATCCGTGTAATGGGATTCAGGAAAATGAAGTAACTTGCACAACAGGGCTCACAGCTTAGAAAGGAGAGAGCTTGGAGTTTTAACCAGATCTGACCCTCAAGCCCAAGCTATTTCCAGTTTATTCCAGGGTGCCTGAACTTGGCTGTTATGTATACTGAGTCCTGTGCAGGGCCTCTGACAGCAGGAAGGGGCCCCAAGTCTAAAATACTTGAAGGGATTGGGTTACTAGGGCCATTATGTTAAGCAAGAGAGCTCGGGGGAATGCATTTTAGCTTCATATTCCTATTTAAAATGTGCTGTGTGGGTGGGTAAATTGCTTCCATAAGCTTCACAGTGGCATTTAAGGCTCCTGGGTTAAGTTAGGAATGGGGGTGTTCCTGATGTGGGGGCTTTAGGCTTCCATGAAGTGGGTCTGGGCCCCCTGCCTTACCTCACAGCCCCCATCTACCCTGGAAGAGGGAGTTGAAAATGCTGGGATAGCAGCAGGATCAGTTCTCAGCTTGAGCCAAAGCACCCGGCCCTGGGCAGCTGAGCATCAGCACAGAACCCTCTGAGTCCTTTGGGCTCTCTGCTGAGGAAGACTGCTTCACTCTTCCCGCCCACCAACTCGCTGGCCCAACCAGCAGCTGCTGCTTAAGAAAACACCCACAGACTCACCACATTTTAGTCTTAGCATTTACTTTCCCCACCCCACATTCTTGGAACAGCCTTTAGTTCTACAGGAAATGGCACTGATGGACAGAAGACTAGCATTACCTTCATGAAAGGGCTGTTAGAGCTGCCTGGGAAGAAGGCGTGCCTTGGGGAACTGGGAAGATGCCGTCAGTGTGGGTGGGCAGGAGGACAGCCAGTCGTCCTGCTGCCAGCCCAATAGCTTCCAGCGGCAGGTGCCCAGGTGCTACCGGAGCCCCTCATAGGGGTAGGGGCAGGGACTGCACCTCCTCCAGGCACTCATCGTAAGCCTCCTGGTACTCCTCATGGGGCTTGACCATTATCACACAGGTGGGGCGCTTGGAGCCTGCGGCTGCACCCAGGTCCTACAGAGGGGAAAGAAGTGCTGTTTGGAAAAAAGCTGTACAACCTGTATGCCAGGAAGTCACCAACTGATGACCCACCAGCCTAATCTGGCCCACAACCATGTTCTGTTCGGTCCATGTTCTATTTAAAAGCATCTTGAATTGGTTGCCATCATTTAAACTCAATCAGACTTTGAAGGCATGGTCCAGCCACACAGGGCCTACATTCCCACATGGCAACTATGAAAGGGCTCCAGCCCAGCAGGGGCTGTCCCGGTCCCTGCCACCCCCACTTCCTGTGCCTCAGATCTGGCCCCTGTTACGTAAGATAAGGACAGCTACAGGTCCCTCTGAGCCTAAACCCACCTAACCGGACTAACATGGGTGAAGCATCTTAGCTTACAAAGCTCTTTCACATACATCTATCTCTTTATTCTCATAGTCCACAGATAACTGACTATTTGGTTCTTACCATCAGGCCAAACGGTAAGTTCCTTCAGAACAGGGCCTCCTGCTTTATCCCAAGAAGTGATACTGTAGGTACCCAAGATCCACCCCCAGCCTCTATTTTTTTTTTTTGAGACAGGGCCTCACTCTGTCATGCAGTCTGGAGTGTGGTGGTGTATGATCATGGCTCACTGCAGCCTTGAACTCCTGGGTTCAAGTGATCTCCTGCTTTAGCCTCCCAAGTGGCTGGGACTACAGGCATGTGCCACCACACCCAGCTAATTAAAAAAATTTTTTTTGTAGAGATGGAGTCTCACTTTGTTGCGCAGGTTATTCCTGAACTCCTGTCCTCAACTGATCCTCCTGTCTTGGCCTCCCAAAGCACTAGGATTACAGGTGTGAGCCACAGCGCCTGGGCTGGGATTCCCACTTTACAAGATGGGAACTGAAATGCAAGAAGTAACATATCTGTAGTCCCAAAACTAAGAAGATGTGGAGCTGAGAATCCATCCAGGCCTGTCTTAGCTCCAACACTCCTGGCTCTTTCCCACACTCTCCTGCTATGGCAGACTATCCCAGACACCCCAGTGCTGAGCAAGGTCAGGGGGCCACGTGCTCCTTACCGTCTTAGAGGGGATATAGACATAGGGCAAATTTCGGTCCTCACACATGACTGGGAGATGGCAGTATACCTCAATGGGCAGTGTGTCTCCTGCCAAAACCATGATCCTGAAATGAGAGAAAACACTGTCATCTCTGGCTTGCTCCTTCCTTCTTTCAGTTTTAAGTGCTGCCCTGGGCTGGGTCTTAGGGATAGAGACAAAATTGTGTTTGGTGAGCACACTATTTGGGGGTGATCTCTACCTCTTGGCAACATACAGGTGCCACCAAAGTGATGTAGTGCTCGGACAGGTGAAGTACAGGATGGGTGCCAAGGTGTATGAGCTCAGCTCTCTTTGGAGAGTCAAAAAAGGGTTCAACCAGGAGGTGACACTTGAACAGCACGCTGATGGATGACTGTGTGGCAGGCAGCCCACGGAGGGGCTGGGGCGGGGGAGAGCATGTGGTGTGAGAATCAGAACGGCACCAGACACAGCCGAGAGACTGGCAGGGGACACCCCCAAGACCTTGAGTACCAGGCTAAGAAGCATGGGCTCTGTCCCAAGAGTGACAGTGAGGCAATGAAAGCTTGCCAGAGACTCAGCCAGGGTTCCTAGCTGGCCAGGTGTCAAGGCTGGGGGGCAAGGGCCTCAGGAGCCTAAGACACAGAAGGAAAAGTCTGCTCTCCCATGCTGGATAACAGGCGGACACACAAGGACAGAGCCCTCGGCTGAAAGAATGCTTCCGCACTCCTAGTGCTCCTCTGGGCCCTCTGCTGGCTCCCCTTCTGTTAAGCGCCTTTCACTGTGAGTGTTCCTCACAGCCTTGTCCTCGGCTGCCCTCTCCTCTCAGGACCTTCTTCCTGGCTGACCGGAGCCACTGCCATGGGGTCAGGTGCCATCTATGTGCTGAAAACTCCCAGATGTACTATCTCCAGCCTGGCCCTCTCTCTTCCATGCTCCAAACCCCTATAGCCATCTGCCTGTTTGACAGTTCTCCTGGTGTGGGGCGGGGTGGAAGTCATGTGTCTCTACAGCACCTCAAAAACTTACCCAGACCCAAATTTGTGATCTTTCTACACAAATCTGGTCCCCCTCCACTGTTCACATCTCAAGATTGGGCCCTCTGTCCCTCCAGCTGGGCATGTCAGAACCTAGAAGTCGTCAATACCTCCCCATTCTCCACATCTGAAAGTCCTTTCAAATCTGTCCCCTTTAACTCTGTCTCCACCATCACCTCTCCAGGACTACAGTAGTCTACTACCTGAACTTTCCCAAACCTACTCGTACCTCTCTAATCCTTTCTTCAATTGTCAGAAAAATCTTAGGGTGTAAAAAATAATAAAAATTATGTCACTTCCTGGCTTTAACCCCTAATAGCCTCCAAAGTGCTGAGTATAAAAACTAAATTTACTGTGTCCTACAAGGCCCCCTAAGAAGGTAGCACTTCTGCTCACCAGACCCTCTCCTGCCCAGAGGCCCACTCTTTCTTCTGGCAGAATCCTCCCACCCACCCCCCAATTAATCCCTGTGTCTTAAGACCTCAGCTCAAATGTGACTGCTGAGGGAAACTTCCCCAGATGCGCCCTCCCCAGCTAGGTTAGATGCCGTTGAGCATCAAGTCTGCCCAACATTATTGATCTCTTGAGCACCTACAGTTTCACTTCTTGGGATAAAGCAAGGAGGCCCTGTTCTGAAGGAGCTTACCATCTGGCCTGAGAGGGTGATAAAGGGAAGAAAAATGTAAACAAGGTTCAAACTTTGATAAATGCCATTAAGAAAAGTGGGGTGATGAAGTTATCATTGCACTCTGTTATTTTCCTTCATGGCTATCTATCACAACGTGTAATTAGTTGTGTGTGTGTCATTATCTGATGAATGAATGTCACTGTTTCCCCCATAACACAGTGCCTGAAAAAGAGTACATTCAATTGTTAAGGCTGCCAGGCGCGGTGGCTCATGCCTGTAATCCCAACGCTTCGGGAGGCTGAGGCAGGAGGATTCCTTGAGCCCAGGAGTTCAAGACCAGCCCGGGCAACATGGCGAGACTCCTCTGTCTCTGCAAAACAACAATAACAACAGCCAGGCGTGGCGCAAGCCGGTGGTCTCAGCTATTCGGGAGGCTGAGGTGGGAGGATCGCTTGAGCCCAGGGGGACGAGGCTGCAGCGAGCTGTGATCGCACCACCGCACTCCAACCTGGGTGAGAGCTAGACCCATCTCAAAAACAAACAAAAACGTTAACGTTCAGTTCCTTAAATACAGAGCCGGAGAGGGGTCATCCCTAGGACTGAGATTCAGGGCTGAGAGGATTAGGGCGGGGGCCGGAGGTAATCTGAGGCAAGGAGCGGAGCCCGGGGAGGAGGGTCCCTGAATTAATGAAGGTGGGTTTACTCTAAGGGACTTTGCTTACACAATTCGCTTCACTTTGGAATTCACTTTGAGCTGGTATACGTGGTGTACCGGTATTGTCGTACCGGTATTGTACCAAAGGGACTTTACCGACTGCTTGATTGGCTTCTGTATATGGGGCTAGGTCAGAGTTAACCTTTTTACTGCGCGCCTACTAAGTAGAGATTTCTCCGTTAACGTTTAGAAATGCAAAATCCAGAGGAAGGAAGGTTCTTACCCTTTTTCTCCTTTGTTGACAAATTTCTGAACCTCTTTCACCCCGCGCCGAATCTGCTTCTGCTTCACCGCTGCAACGACAGAAGAGTCGGTCGGGGGCCTCGCTCAGCCACCCGCGCACCCATCCCACCCGCGCACCCATCCCGGCCACGCCGCCGTCCGCCTCACCTTTCTTGATGCATTTGTAGAGCTTCCGCGTGAGGCGGCGAGAAGCCAGGGGCTGCGCGATGGGGTTCTGGTTGACCAGCAGCTCCTGGTAGGTGCGCTCCCCGGAACACGCCTCCGCCTGAGCCTCGGGCCCGTCGGGATCTGCCTTTATTTTGGTCATCGCAGCGGCCGCTGAAACCTAGTCCCAGGGAGGCGAGCCCACGCGGTCCACAGCTTTAGGCATCACTTCCAGGTCATCAGCTGCGCGAGAAGCCGCCGTACAACACGGCCAATCAGGAAAGGAAGTCTCCGACTCAGCCCAATCGTTGACGCCCAGCTTCGTAACTACGGAGAGCGGAGAGGGGCGGAGTCATGGTCCTTAAGGCGGGGCCATCCCCGGACCAAGGGACTGGGCGGAACCGATTAGGGCGGAGCGGAGGGAATGTGAGGCAAGGGGCGGAGCCCTGGGAATCGGGGCCGGAGAGGGCGGGGCTCTGGGTGCTGGAAAGGCTGCCTCGTTTTTTTTCTTTTTTGAGGCAGAGTTTCGCTCTTATTGCCCAGGCTGGGGTACAGTGGCGCAATCTCGACTCACTGCAACCTCCGCCTCCCGGGTTCAAGCGATTCTCCTACTTCAGCCTCCCGAGTAGCTGGGATTGCAGGCATGCGCCACCACGCCCAGATAATTTTGTATTTTTACTAGAGACAGGGGTTCTCCATGTTGGTCAGGCTGGTCTTGAACTCCTGACCTCAGGCGATCCGCCCGCCTCGGCCTCCCAAAGTGCTGGGATTACAGGCGTGAGCCACCGCGCCCGGCCTAAGGCTGCCTCCTTTCTTGCATAATTTTTCTTTGTTTTCTGACCCCTGGACCCGGCTGCGCAGGTGTGAAAGATACAGAGCAAGGGATGACCCCACTGACCTGCGTCTGCACCGCTTTTCCACAGATAGCGTGTGGCTCACTCTCATCCCGCAGGGTTCCGTTTCAGTGTTTCCCATGGGAGAGGTTTCCCTGGTGATTTTATCTAAAATTGCCGTCCCCTCTCTCTCCAAACCAGCATCCCTTCACCCGCTATTTTCCCGCAGTTCTTACCATTGCCTGACGCTACACATGCAGAGGGCCTAGCCGAGAAGCCAGCCGGGGCTGAGGGAAGGACGGCTCCAGCGAAGCCGGGAACAGCGGAGGGAAGGCTTTGGGGACTGAGCTCCCTGCCGTGCAGGGTGAGAGCTATGAGGAGCTACCCTTTGGACGGGTCTGTAGAAGGTAAAGGGACAGAGCTGCCAGGGCGTGGGGGGCGGTGGCAGGCCGAGATCCAGTGGATCTTGGTATCTCTGATTAGCCTCTTCCACTATATTTTGGAACTCTGGATGGATATTAATTAGATAATCGCTGCAAATTACTAATTTGTAATACTAATTACCTTTGATCCTGATGTGGCAGGCCTGCCATTTTTGTGTTGCTGGAACAGGCCAGTAAGTAGAAACTTAGAAGTGTTCCGGTAGTTGTGGGTGGGAACACAGGTCAGTTAAACCAACTTAAAAATTGGCCTTTCCCGGGTGTGGTGACTCGTGCCTGTGGTTCCAGCTACCCGGGAGGCTGAGAGGGGGCTCGCTTGAGCCCAGAAGTTAGAGGCTTCAGTGAGCCATGACTGCACCTGTGAATAGCCACTGCACTCCAGTCTGGGCCACCCAGGAAAATCTTGTCTCTAAAACAAAACAACAACAACAAAAACCTTGTAACTCTGAACTAAAGTGCAATAAATTTTGTTTTGCATTAAATAAAAACAAATAGGCTGGGCGCGGTGCCTGTAATCCCAGCACTTTGGGAGGCCGAGGCGGGCAGATCATGAGGTCAGGAGATCGAGACCATCCTGGCTAACACGGTGAAACCCCCGTCTCTACTAAAAATCACTCTGTCCAGCAGAGTGATGGAGAATTTCACTCCTGAGAACCCAGTTCAAACAAATTCAAACAAATGGGCTCGCTTGACTGACCTCACTCAGAGCCTCGGTTGTGAAGTCCCTTCAGCTCTTACATGGAAGGAAAAAGAAAGTTAACATTTATGTGGCGAGCATATTATATACAATATCTCATTCAGTGCTCACCAAAAAATACCTCTATGGTAAAGGTAAAGACTTTACCATCCTTTTACCAGGAATATATAACTTTATATTCACAATTTACTGACACACATAAAGATGAATAGTTTGGTACAGCTCACACAAAGCTGGATTTGAACCCAGGTCCACTTGTCTCCAAGCCCAGACTTTACCCATACCTGTGATTTGACATTTGACTTCAGCTCAAAAGGATACGTAAATAGTGAAAGTGTAGGAACCTCAGCTTGGCCCAGGTCACACGTGTCTGCATTTTGAGCCATAAGACAATGAAGTGCTGAGAACAAATATGTCTTCAGAAAACCACAGTGTTTTCTTTTTCTTTTTTTTTCTTTTTTTTTTTTTTGAGATGGAGTCTCGCACTTTGGCCCAGGCTGGAGTGCAGTGGCACCATCTCGGCTCACTGCAAGCTCCGCCTCCCAGGTTCACGCCATTCTCCTGCCTCAGCCTGCCAAGTAGCTGGGACTACAGGTGCCCACCACCACATCCGGCTAATTTTTTGTATTTTTAGTAGAGACGGGGTTTCACTAGGGTTTCACCGTGTTAGCCAGGATGGTCTCGATCTCCTGACCTCATGTTCTGCCCGCCTCGGCCTCCCAAAGTGCTGGGATTACAGGCATGAGCCACCGCGCCCGGCCCCCTTTTTTTTTTAAGACAGAGTCTCCCTTTGTCACCCAGGCTGTGGCATGATCTCAGCTCACTGCAATATCTGCCTCCCAGATTCAAGTGATCCTACTGCCTCAGCCTCCCAAGTAGCTGGGATTACAGGCACCCGCCACCATGCCCAGCTAATTTTTGTACTTTTAGGAGAGATAGGGTTTTACCATGTTGGCCAGGCTGGCCTCGAACTCCTGACCTCAAGTGATCCACTCGCCTTGGCCTCCCAAAGTGTTGGGATTACAGATGTAAGCCACCGCACCTGGCCTGTTTTCTTTTTTTGTTGTTAACACACTGTGTATTTCTTATCTTTTTTTTTTTTTGAGACGGAGTCTCGCTCTGTCACCCAGGCTGGAGTATAGTGGCCCCATCTTGGCTCACTGCAAGCTCTGCCTCCTGGAATCACGCCATTCTCCTGCCTCAGCCTCCCGAGTAGCTGGGACTACTGGTGCCTGCCACTACACCTAGCTAATTTTTGTTGGTTTGTTTGTTTGTTTGAGACAGAGTCTCACTCTGTCGCCCAGGCTGGAGTGCAGTGGCACGATCTTGGCTCACCACAACCTCCACCACCCGGGTTCAAGCGATTCTCCTGCCTCAGCCTCCCGAGTAGCTGGGATTACAGACGCCTGCCACTGCACCCAGCTAATTTTTGTAGTTTTAGTAGAGACGGGGTTTCACCATCTTGGCCAAGCTGGTCTTGAACTCATGACCTCATGATCCACCCGCCTCGGCCTCCCAAAGTGCTGGGATTACAGGTGTGAGCCACTGCGCCCGGCCACGCCCAGCTAATTTTTGTATTTTGAGTAGAGACGGGGTTTCACTGTGTTATTCAGGATGGTCTCGATCTCTGACCTTGTGATCTGCCTGCCTGGGCCTCCCAAAGTGCTGGGATTACAGGTGTGAGCCACTGCGCCCAGCCAACACATTGTGTATTTCTAAAGCCAGACTCAGAAATCTGTTCTGAACCCAGGTTGTTTTGCATGACTTTATTACTTTATGGATTTTGTTGGAATGGCTATTTGAGCTTACTTTTTTGTTTCTTTTTTCTTTTTTTTTTGAGATGGAGTCTCGCTCTGTTGCCCCAGCTGGAGTGCAGTAGCGCAATCTCGGCTCACTGCAACCTCTGCCTCCCGGGTTCAAGCGAGTCTCATGCCTCAGCCTCCCAAGTAGCTGGGATTACAGGCATGCACCACCACACCTGGCTAACTTTTGTATTTTAGTAGAGACAGAGGTTCACCATGTTGGCCAGGCTGGTCTCAAACTCCTGACCTCACGTGATCTGCCTACCTCGAACTCCCAAAGTGCTGGGATTACAGGTGTGAGCTACTGTGCCCAGCTGAGTTTACTTTAAGCAGTGTACAGTGGCTGATAACATAAAAATTAATGGACACTGGTCCAGAGCTCTAAATGACAAATGACTTTAGGCAAGTCATTTAGCCTCTCTGGGCGTCAGTGCTTCACCATAAAGTGAGAAAGTTAGATCTAGATGGACTAAGGTCCATCTTTTAAAAAATTGGAGAGGATTTATTTATTTATTTATTTATTTATTTATTTATTTATTTATTTTGAGACGGAGTCTTGCTCTGTCACCCAGGTTGGAGTGCAGTGGCACGATCTCAGCTCACTGCAAGCTCCGCCTCCCGGGTTCACGCCATTCTCCTGCCTCAGCCTCTTGAGTAGCTGGGACTACAGGCACCCGCCACCACGCCTGGCTAATTTTTTGTATTTTTAGTAGAGACGGGGTTTCACTGTGTTAGCCAGGATGGTCTCGATCTCCTGACCTCGTGATCCACCCGCCTCGGCCTCCCAAAGTGCTAGGATTACAGGCGTGAGCCACCGCGCCCGGCCAGGAGAGAATCTCTTGAGCCCAGGAGATCGAGACTAACCTGCAGGAGGACCACCTGAGTCTGGGAGATCAAGGCTGTGGGGAGCTGTGATTGTGCCAATGAACTCCAGCCAGGGTGACACAGTGAGACCCCCACCTCAAAAAAAAAAAAAAAAAAAGAAAAGAAAAAAGAAACGCTGTACCCTTTAGCTGTCACCCTCTGACCTCCTTATCTTTCCTGAACTCTAAGCTACCACTAATCTACGTTCTGTCTCTATCCATTTCTGTGTTCTGGACATTTCATAGAAATAGAATCATGTAATATGCAGTTTTTGTGACTAGCTTCTTTTACTTAGAATAACATTTTCAAGGTTTGTCCATGTTACAGCATTTATTAGTGCTTTATTATTATTATTATTTTGAGATGGAGTCTCGCTCTGTTGGCCAGGCTGGAGTGCAATGGCATGATCTCGGCTCACTGCAACCTCTGCCTCCTGGGTTCCAGCAATTCTCCTGCCTCAGCCTCTCTAGTAGCTGAGATTACAGGCACGTGCCACCACGCCCAGCCAATTTTTGCATGTTTAGTAGAGACGGGGTTTCACCATGTTGGCCAGGCTGGTCTCGAACTCCTGACCTCATGATCTGCCCACCTCTGCCTCCCAAAGTGCTGGGATTACAGGCGTGAGCCACCATGCCCAACCTAGTGCTTTATTATTAAATAATATTCCATTGTATAGATATACCACATTTTATCCATTCATCAGTTCATGGATTGGGTTGTTTCCACCTTTTGACTATTGTGAATAATGCTGATATGAACATTCGTGGACACATGTTTGTGTGGGTATATTTTGCCGTTCCCTTGGGTAGATACCCAGAATGAAAATGGCTGGGTCAAATGGTAACTCTATGTTTAACTTTTTGGGGAAAGGCTAGGCTGTTTTCCAAAGTGGCTGCCCCATTCCTACCAACAGTGTATAAACGTTCCAATATCTTTACATTTTTAACACGTTGTTATCTGACAAATCCAGTTTCTTGGAAAGAAACATTTCAAAGGGACTTATGAACAGAAGCCACGTCTGTGTCTCCAGTGGTGGGGAGACAAAATCGTAGATCCCCGCAGCAGTATCCCCAGGTCCACAGCTTCTGTACCAAGGGAAAGGGTTATACAGAAGGGATGTGTGGACAAGCAAAGTATGATAACATCAAGGCTGTTTGATTTAATGGTAGGATTGATGGTAAGTACAGTCTCCTATACAAGGAACAATAGATAAACTGGAAATCTTAGAGGCCTTCCTGGAACAGGAGTTAATCAGAAGCCAACATAGTAGATTAGCATCCAAGATGGAGTTGCTTTACCCTCAACAGAGGAGTCTTAGGCTCATAGCAACATTGAGAGGGAGGTAGAGAGATTTCCTATCTGCCCCCTGCCCCACGCATGCACCTCCTCTCCCATTGTCATCTTCCACCAGAGGGTACATTTGTTACAATTGATCAACTTACATTGTCACATCATTACCACCCAAAGTCTATTGTTGACATGAGGGTGTGCCACAAGAGGGATGGCACCTGTAGGCTCTGGCTGGGGGGAGGGGGTGGCTATTGAATCCATTATCAGCCACAGATCCCCAGTTGCAGTTGGAGACAGGCTTTACTCTGGGCCACCAAAGTCTGAGCTTTTCCCAGACAGATTTGGTTTTGTTTTTGTTTTTGTCGTTTTTGAGATGGAGTCTTGCTCTGTCGCCCAGGCTGGAGTACAATGGTGCAAGTACAGCTCACTGCAAACTCTGCATCCCAGGCTCAAGCGATCCTCCCACTTCAGCCTCCTGAGTAGCTGGGACCACAGGCATGCGCCACCACGCCTGGCTAATTTTTATATTTTTTGTAGAGACAGAGTCTTGCCATGTTTTTATATTTTTTGTAGAGACAGTCTCGCCATGTTGCCCACGCTGGCCTCAAACTCCTGACCTCAAGCAATCCTCCTGCCTTGGCCTCCCAAAGCGCTTGGATTATAGGCATGAGCCACCACCCCCGGACCCAGAGATGAATTTTTTGTCTGGGGGTTTCTAGAGGAACAGGAGGTGGTGGCGGATGCCAAGTGCAGCAGCTGTTTTAGTCCTGACTCTCACTTCCCGCTTCCTGGTCCTGGGGTGCCTGGTGGCTTGGTCTCCCCTGCAGTCCCCTTGCAGCCTTTCCTGGGCTGTGGCTGTCAACACCTGTTTCATCTATTGCCTTCTTCTATTCACTTTCCATAGTCTCAAAAGTCAGAAAAATGTTTCCTCTGTTGGGGCCTTTCCCTCTCATTTTCTTTGCTGTTTTGCTACAGGCTGGCAGGCATTGTTGGGGGCGTGTGTATGTCCACGTGTGCACAAAACCTGCCCTTCTCCACAGCACCATGCTGCTACCCACTGCTTAACAGGACTCTTGAGCAAGTAGTTCTTTTTTTTTTTTTTTTTTTTTTTTTTTGAAATGGAGTCTTGGTCTGTTGCCCAGGCTGGAGTGCAGTGGTGCGATCTCGACTCACTGCAACCTCGACCTCCTGGGTTCAAGCAATTCTCCTGCCTCAGCCTCCCAAGTAGCTGGGATTACAGGCATGCGCCACCACCCCGCCCGGCTAATTTTTGTATTTTTAGTAGAGACGGGGTTTCACCATGTTGACCAGGTTGGCCTAGGACTCCTGACCTCAAGTGATCCACCCACCTCGGCCTCCCTTACAGGCGGGAGCCACCATGCCTGGCCTCTTGAGTAAGTTCTTGATGGTCACATTTTTTGTTCTTGTGCCCAGAAAATGCCTTCCCTTCTTCCAGGCCCCTTGGAATTGACATTGATGTTCCTGCCAGACTTTGTTTTATTATTATTATTATTTTTTGAGATGGAGTCTCGCTCTGTCGCCCAGGCTGGAGTGCAGTGGCATGATCTCGGCTCACTGCAAGCTCTGCCTCCCGGGTTCATGCCATTATCCTGCCTCAGCCTCCCGAGCAGCTGGGAATACAGGCGCCTGCCACCACGCCTGGATAATTTTGTGTATTTTTAGTAGAGACAGGGTTTCGCCATGTTAGCCAGGGTGGTCTCGATCTCCTGACCTCATGATCTGCCTGCCTTGGCCTCTCAAAGTGCTGGGATTACAGGCATGTGCCACCGCGCCCGGCCCAGACTTTGTTTTTTCTTGTTGTTTGTTTTTGAGACAGTCTCCCTCTGTCACCCAGGCTGGAGTGCGGTGCCACTATCTCGGTTCACTGCAACCCCTGCCTCCCGGGTTCAAGTGATTCTCGTGCTTCAGCCTCCCAAGTAGCTGGGACTACAGGCATGCCACCATGCCCGACTAATTTTTGTATTTTTAGTAGAGATGGGGCTTCACCATGTTGCCTAGGCTGGTCTTGAACTCCTGACCTCAAGTGATCTGCCACCTCAGCCTCCCAAAGTGCTGGGCTACAGGTATGAGCCACGGCACCCAGCCTCCTTCCAGACTTTGTGCCATGGAGATGTGGGGGCCAGGACCATTGGCCCCTAAAGGTTCACTGAAAAATCACTGGCACAAGGCAGACAATTATTAGGAGTAAAGGGAATCTCACGAGGTTTGGGTCTGCACCGTGCATATTGGACTTTCCCTTCATTCAGAACAACTTACTGAGCGTCTTTATGTGCCCAACACTGTGCTGGGCATCGGGGGAGCCATGGTGAGCTAGACAGAGAGTCCTGGTCTCCCAAGGGTTCCGCACGGGAAGTACCAGCCGTGGGAGCAATATAGAACTGGAATCTAGGAAGGGATCTGGGAAAAGTGCTCCCTACAGGATTTGTTGGATGTGACAGGGTAGAGGAGGAGGGTACTGGGAAGACCTAGGGGTGAGGAGGGAACGAGGGCAGGGCCGGCTGGAACAGCCACCCTTAGTGCTTACTGCAGCCTTCTTCCGGGTTGAATCTCCCCATCCTACAAGGCAGGAAGCTACAGGAGGTGCCTGGTGGAGAGTCCGTCCTCAGAAATCATTTGAACAAATGACTTTTACGGACTTTTGTTCATCCCCTGAAGCTCCTGGGGTACCACTGCAGGATTTTAAATTGGGGAGTAGCATGGTTAGCTTTGTGTTTTTGGAAGAGCATCTAGGCTACAGCAGGGGAACCAGAGGGTGGGCAGGATGCCTGGGGAAGAGGGGGAAGAATGAGAGCAGCAAGGGGGCTGCGAGTGTGGCCTGATCCAGGATGATGGCCGTGAGGCTGAGCTAAGGGAGTTGGTGAGAGCGATATACAGGACACAAAAGGACTTTGAGATATGGGGTGTGGCAGTGGAACAAGAGGATGGGTCAGGCAGACAGAATTTCTAAGATAGCCCCCCAGAGATGCCCTGCCCAGAACCTGTGAGTATGAGGAGCTGTCACTCCTGCATGTCTTCTTATTTGGCACAGTCGACTCAGACAGGGAGAGAATCCGGGATTATCCGGGTTAGCCCACTGTAATCCCTTGAGACCTTAAAGCAGAGAGCTTTCTCTGACTGACGGCAGAGGGGCAATGACGGAGATCCCAAGAGCAAGCAGGATCTGAACGCTGCTCCCGGCTGTGAGGATGGAGGCACCATGTGTGAGGACCAAAAAGTAACCGCAGGAGCTGAGAGTGGCTGGATGACAGGAGGCGGGACCCAGGTCCTACAATCACCAGGAACTGAACTCTTCCAGCAAGAAGAGTGAGCCTGAGGCCAGGTGCGCTGGCTCATGCCTGTAATCCCAGCACTTTGGGAGGCCGAGGTGGGTGGATCATGAGGTCAGGAGATCGAGACCATCCTGGCTAACACGGTGAAACCCCGTCTCTACTAAAAATCCAAAAAATTAGCCGGGCGTGGTGGCGGGTGCCTGTAGTCCCAGCTACTCGGGAGGCTGACGCAGGAGAATGGCGTGAACCTGGGAGGTGGAGCTTGCGGTGAGCCGAGATTGCTCCACTGCACTCCAGCCTGGGCAACAGAGCGAGACTCTGTCTCAAAAAAAAAAGAAAAAAGAAAAAGAAGAGTGAGCCTGGAAGGGGATTCCAAGCACCAGATGAGATACCACGGCAGGTGGAGACTTTGATGGGAACCTTCAGCCCAAGCCCTGACCTCCAGGACTTCCGATGTACAGGACCGTGAGATAATACATGGGTGTCGTTCTCAGCCACTGAGTGGTCAGTTGTTACAGCAGCAATAGGGAGTGAATGCACCAGATTTCTGGACACATTCACTTCAGTGAAAACCAACACAGGGACCTGGCATGGTGGCTCACGCTTGTAATCCCAGCTCTTTGGGAGGCTGAGGCAGGTGGATCACTTGAGGCCAGAAGTTCAAGACCAGCCTGGCCAACATGGTGAAACCCTGTCTCTACCAAAAATACAAAAATTAGCTGGGCGTGGTAGTGGGCCCCTGTAATCCCAGCTACTTGGGAGGCTGAGGCAGGAGAATCACTTGAACCTGGGAGGCAGAGGTTGCAGTGAGCCGAGATTGTGCCACTGCACTCCAGCCTGGTGACAGAGCGACGCTCCATCTCAAAGAAAAAAAAAAAAAAGAAGGAAGGAGAAAGAAAAAGAAAGAAAAGAAAACCAATATAGAGGGCGAGGCAGGGCAGGCTGGGAAAGAAAATTTTAAAAAAGGAAGGAAGGAAGGGAGGGAAAAGAGAAAAAAGAAAAGAAAGGAAGACCAATGTAGAGGGTGAGGCAGGGCAGGCTAGGAAAGTAAAAGAAAAAAGAGAAGAAACGAGAGGAGAGGACAGAAAAGAAGGAAGGAAGAAGAGAAAGGAGAGAAGAGAGAAAGAAAGAAAAAGAAAGAGAAAGGGAGGGAGGGAGGGAAAAGAAAAGAAAACCAATGTAGAGGGGAGGCAGGGCAGGCTGGCAGAGGAAAGAGGTCCAGGGGGCTCGGGATGGATAATAAGGGTCCCTACCTCATCAGGCTGTTGGGAGAGCCAAGTGCATGTACGGTAAGTGCGGCCGCAGCTGGAACCGGGAGACCTACGGTGGAAATGGGAATGGAGATCTGTGAGTTGTGGCAGAAAGGCCTCCACCTCCCACTGAGGCGTGACGGGCGGGGAAAGCAGGTGGCATTGTGCTGCCTGAGCCACCGTGCGTGGCCCCGTCGCCCGGGAGCCCGCTGTGGCCTCCTCTCCCTCGCCTGTACCGCCACCTCGTGGAGCAGTGTGGAATCGCCAGCAGTCAGTCAGGGCGGGCTTTGGTTCTGGGAGTCAGTACTTCTTATGACCGTGCTCGTCTGACATCTGGCCTCTTGCTTCGCAGGAGGCAGAAAGGCCATGCTCCTGCCCTAGAAAGTGAGCGCGCTTCTAGTGAAGGGTCTTTAGAGCCCATTGATTCACCCTCCCGTCAACGGAGTGGAATGACGGAGGCCAGGCCCAGACCCCTGAGCAAATCAGGTTCCGAGGTGGGAGGGGAACCCAGGCAGCCCTCCCTCATTCATTCCTTGGCACCTGTTCAGCCTCTGGCTTCCCGTTGGCCATGGAGAGGAGGAGAGGCAGGGAGCAGTGCGCCTCCCCCCTTCTGACCTGTGCTTATTCTCCAGCAGCAGACACCTGGCGCTGCTGGCCTTCCTTTTCTCGTGAGATAGGAGGCATCTGTTTTTCTCTTTCTTCGTGAAAGACAGGAGAGCAGCCAGGCCAGAATGGGGGATTGCGGGGGGCGTGGAGAACTGGGCTGAGGGTGTTTGGGACCTGCTAGGCAAAGGGCTTGAGTGTCAGTCCAACTGATTTAGATCGAGGTCAGAAGATGTTCTCTGTTAAGGGCCAAACAGTAAACATTTTAGGCTCCGTGGACTATACAGTCTCTATCGTAACCACTCAGCCCTGCTGTTATAGTAGGAGAGCACCCAGAGACAATATGTAATCAAATGGGGTGGCTATGTACCAATAAAACTTTATTTATAAAAACATGGGGGCCGGGTGTGGTGGCTCATGCCTGTAATCCCAGCACTTTGGGAGGCTGAGGCGGGCGGATCACGAGGTCAGGAGATCCAGACCAGCCTGGCCAACATAGTGGAACCCCGTCTCTACTAAAAATACAAAAAATTAGCCGAGCGTGGTGGTGGGCGCCTGCGGGAGGCTGAGGCAGGAGAATCGCTTGAACCAGGGAGGCGGAGGTTGCAGCGAGCTGAGATCGCGTCACTGCACATCAGCCTGGGTGACAGTGCGAGACTGTCTCAAAACAAACAAACAAGCAAGCAAGCAAGCATGGGTCCGCGGGTCGTAGTTCGCTGACCGCTGATCTGGACGGTGGTGGTGCCTGCAGGTTTTTCCAATCAGATGCAACAGCTGAGGCTGGGGGCCGTGGCTCACGCCTGTAATCCCAGTGTTTTGGAAGGCCGAGGCGGGAGGATCACTTGAGCCCGGAAGTTTATCAGCAGCCTGGGCAACAAACAAGACTTCTGTCTCAACAACAACAACAACATTAAAGAAAGAAAAAATGATGCGCCGGGGTCGCGTCGGGCTGGGCCGGGGGCGCGCCGTGCGAGCGGGATGTCCGGCCTGCGGGCGCTGCCGGGGCTCAGGCTGCTGGTTGCGGCTCGCGCCTGCGCGAATCAAAAGCCAGACCAGCGCCTGCCGCTCGGGACCCACCTCGTGGGGACGGCAGCGGCTGAACTCGGGTGGCCGCTGGGACTCAGCGGTCATGGCGAGCATAGCGGTGAAGCACCTGAGCCAGGAGGAAGCCCAGGTCGTGGACCAGGAGCTATTCAACGAGTACTAGTTCAGCGTGGCCCGACTTGTGGAGCTGGCCGGGCTGAGCTGCGCCGCAGCCATCGCCAAGGCATATTCCCCCACGTCCATGTCCAGGAGCTCCCCTACTGTCCTGGTCATCTGTGGCCCGGGGAATAATGGAGGAGATGGTCTGGTCTGTGCTGCGCACCTCAAACTCTTTGGCTAACCGGCCAACCATCTATTACCCCAAAAGGCCCAACCAGCCCCTCTTCATTGCGTTGGTGACCCCGTGTCAGAAAATGGACATCCCTTTCCTTGGGGAAATGCGCTCAGAGCCCGTGATGATTGAGCTGTATGAGCTGGTGGTGGATGCCATCTTCGGCTTCAGCTTCGAGGGTGATGTTCGGGAACGTTCCACAGCATCCTGAGTGTCCTGAAGGGATTCACCGTGCCCACTGCCGGCATCAACATTCCCTCTGGATGGGATGTGGAGAAGGGAAACTCTGGAGGGATCCAGCCAGACTTGCTCATCTCCCTCACAGCACCCAAAAAGTCTGCAACCCAGGTTACCCGGTCGCCACCATTACCTGGGGGGTCGTTTTGTGCCACCTGCTCTGGAAAAGAAGTAGCACCTGAACCTGCCCCTACCCTGACACCAAGTGTGTGTATGGTCTGCAGTGAGGGAAGGTGGGTGGGTATTCTTCCCAATAAAGACTTAAAATCGCCCCCTCAGAAAAGAAAGAAAGAAAGAGAGAGAGAGAAAGAAAGCGAGAGAAAGGAAAAAATGTAAATTAAAAAAGAAAAGCATCACGCCATTGCACACCAGCCTAGTTGACAGAGCAAGACTCCATCTCGAACAAAAAGAAAAAAATTAAAAAGAAGCAACCGATGGGATCCACTTCCAACACTGCATTCTGCAAATATTCTGTATGTATATGCAGTACACAATGCTATCCTTCCCCTTTTTTCCACCTTTTTCTTAGTAAGTGTCCATCCTCTCTTCACAGAAACAGTAGCATACTACGCACAGCATTCTGCATTTTGCTTTTTAACATTTTTTAAAAGTAATTTCAGTTTTTATTTTGGATTCAGAGAGGCCATGTGCAGTTTGTTACCGGGGTGTATTGCGTGATGCTGAGGTTTGGGGTATAATTGTTCCCATCGCCCAGGTACTCAGTATAGTACCCAACAGTTAGTTTTTCACTACTCATCCTCTTTCTCTCCTCTCACGTTGGCCAGGCTGGTCTTGAACTCCTGACCTTAGGTGATCCACCTGTCTCGGCCTCCCAAAATGCTGGGATTACAGGCGTGAACCACAGCGCCCGGCCTAGCTCCTACTTCTAAGTGAGAACCTGCAGTGTTTGGTTTTCTGTTCCTGTATTAATTGGCTTAGGATGATGGCCTCCAGCTGCATCCATGTTGCTGCAAGGACATTATTTCGGGTTTTTTGGCTGCACAGTATTCTGTGGTGAATGTGTGCCACATTAAAAAAAATTATTTTTACTTATTAAATGTTTCATATCTTTGTTTTATTTTTTTTTCTCTTTTTCTCCCCCTCAAGTTGAACTTCATTTTCTTTATCCAATCCACCACTGATGGGCACCTAGGTTGATTCTGTATCTTTGCTGTTGTGAACATTGCTGTGATAAACATACATGTGCCTGTGTCTTTTTGGTAGAAAAATCTGTTTTATTTTTAATATATATCTACTAATGGGATTGCTGGGTCAAATGGTGGCTCTGTTTTTTGTTTGTTTGTTTTTGTTTTTGTTTTTGGAGACAGAGTTTTGCTTTTGTTGACCAGGCTGGAGTGCAGTGGCACAATCTCAGCTCCCCTCAATCTCCACCTCCCAGGTTCAAGCGATTCTCCTGCCTCAGCCTCCCGAGTAGCTGGGATTACAGGCATGTGCCATCACGCCCAGCTAATTTTGTATTTTTAGTAGAGATAGGGTTTCTCCATGTTGGCCAGGCTAGTCTCGAACTCCCGACCTCAGGTGATCCACCTGCCTCGGCCTCCCAGAGTGCTGTGATTACAGGCGTGAGCCACCACGCCCGGCCTGTAGCTCTGTTTCAAGTTCTTTGAGAAACCTCCTAACTACTTTACACAGTGGTGGGATGAATTGACATTCCCAGCAGCAGTGTATTAGCATTCTCTTTTCTCCACAGCGTTGCCAGCAGCTGCTGTTTTTGACTTTTTAATAATAGCTGTTCTGACTGGTGTGAGGTAGTATCTCATTGTGGTTTTGATTTACATTTCTCTAATGATTAGTGATGCTGAACATTTTTTCATATGCTGGTTGGCTACTTGTTGGCATCTTCTTTTGAGAAATGTCTGTTCATGTCTTTTACCCATTTTTAAATGGGATTATTTGGTTTTTGCTTGTTCAATTGTTTAAGTTCCTTATATATTTTGGATATTAGACCTTTGTCAGGTGCATAGTTTGCAAATATTTTCTTCTATTCTGTAGGTTGTCTATTTATGCTGTTGATAGTTACTATTGCTGTGCAGAAGCTCTTTAGTTTAATTAGGCCCCACTTGTCAAATTTTGTTTTTGTTTCCATTGCTTTTGAGGA